>NC_000010.11:11525151-11676666 GCF_000001405.40 Homo sapiens
TACTGCACTTAATGTTCTTACTAAATTGCAAAAAATATTAAAAATTATATCTTAAACAGTTAAATTTTAATCACAGAGTTGTTAAAAGAAACCTAGGAATTTAGTATCAAAACGCATATTGTAAGACTATTCCTTATTCACAGCAATTATATTAAAAATAAAGAAAATCAATATAATAGGTGACCACAGAAACGTTATAATCTAAAAAGCAAGCTTTCAATCTATGTGACTTACTGTAAAAAGCCAAATCTATCTGTGACTTTGTAAACAAGGTAATCAGCATCTTCCCAAGGTTCAATCTCTGCACCTTCTCGTCCCTAAAATAAGGCACAAAAAAAGGTGTTAATCAGAGTTTATAAAACTGAATAATTTTTTAAAATAAAAGGACGAAGAAATAAGAGCTATTTTTAATGTATTACTAAAAATAAGAGCTGGAAGTGAGGCATTATGAGCCTTAACATTTTTTTTTCCCCTTTAAACCCAACTATTTTTGGCAAGATAAACACTATTTCCTAGTTATGACTCTGGAAGATGCTGTGTGTCAGCAGCAGCTGACGCGGAGCTGAGCCAGGATCAGGCCAGGGTTCCTTGGGGAAGCTAATGAGGAAAGAAGAGCGATGGGGATGAGAAAGCCACTCCAGAAGAAACTGCCGAACCTTACAGTTCTAGACCAAACACGTCTCAGAGAAAGAGATTTTTCTTTTTTGCCTTTTTATGCAAACTCCTTAGAGAAGCAGGCAGAGAAGCTCCTCGTCTAGTTCTTTACTTCACAGCTATGCCAGCCTGAAACTACTCTTGCCAAAGTCAAAAATGACCTTCCAGCAGTCAGACCTGCTGCACGCTCTTCAGGCCTCATCTAACGGATCTCTGAAGCGTACTTGTCAGTGTCGCTCACTCCCTCTTCCCAACTCCTGTGACGTTGTCCTCTCATGGTCTCCTCATGCTCCATCAACTCTTCTAATGGCTTTTTCATGGGTAACTCGTCATTGATGGTGTGCCCAAAGTTCGGTCCACAGCCCGCTGCTCTTCTTAATCTAGGTATCATTTACTCTTAGGCTATTAACTAACACTGATCAGTGAAGAAACCCCAAATATAACTATCTATATCAATCCCTCAAATTTTAGACTCAAACTCCCAACTGTCTTGTGGACACCTCCATCTGTCTGCTTGTGTGTTCTCCTCTCAGTACACTGGGAGCATCCTGTAGGCAAGGGCTGCTGCCACTCCTGTCTATGAATCCCCAAGGCCCAGCACGATGCCTGGACTGTGTTAATTGTGTGGGGAAAAAAATGCACACAAGCAGGAATGAATGAGAGTGACACTGGTTTTAAATTAGTGAAGCAGTTAAATAAGTTAACTGAGTTTTTCATGGACTACAATAAAACCTCATCACAATGAAGGAAACTGTGTTTGATGTTCCAAAAATGAACTCTGGGAACATAACTGCTAAGCTGAGCATCACCTGTATGCCTCATGGAAGCAGGACACAGTGCAGGTGACTTTCTATGATTTAATCTCCTGTTATCCTCACAAATAATCAGAAGGAACAGATACATAATTACAAGCAAGTGATGCAAATACAAAACATGACATTTATAAATCACTGCTAGGACTCATTATAGACCTCAGGAGGTAAGGTATAAAGAGGTATGTCAATTGTCAATAATTGTGATTTTCTATAATATCAAAAAACAGATTCCATACCAACATAAGGATAAAACGTTAATGGAAATTATACACACTTGTATAAATTCAAAATCTAAGATCCATGGTAAATTTATAATAGCAGATGTAAATTATGAACGCAACGGATATGTAATTCCATATACTTAACTTAGTCAAGTATTTATTGAGTGCCTAGTGTGAATCAGGTAATGTCCTAGGCATTTAGGATACAAAAGTAAATCAAACAAAAGAAATTCCTGCCTAGAATGTAGAGTCTCGGCAGGTGTACAGAGTGCTGAGGGTAGAATCAGGGGCATTAAACAGGGAGGTGGGAGGTCAGAGAAGATCTCAGTAAGACGATAGCATCTGGGCAAAGATCTGAAAGATGTGAGGCAATGAGGCATGAGAATATCTGGGACACAAGTGTCCCAGGTAGAGGAAACAGCCAGTGCAAAGGCCCTGAGGCAGGAGCAAGTCTGGTGTGCTGGAGGAATAGCAACCGACTGAAGTGGAGAAAAGGATGAAGAAAGACAGGAGATGAAGTCAGCGAAGATGATCTCTATGTCCCCATGAAGTTAAACAAACTGCTTCTGGAATGTAAGCCCTCCAAAAAGCAAATCCATTTCTATTTATATGGTTTTTCTAATAAAACTCACCCAAAGTGTTAAATATGGATACTTACTCTGTCATATTTAGCAACTATTTCAGCTCGCTCCTGGGCAAGTTTGAGTGCTACATCCTGGTCTGAATCTGTGGAGAAGACATCAAATTTAGATGAATTGTCATTGAAAGAATCGTAAAGTTAATTAATTATGAAACTAAGACATAATAAAACAAAAAATAAATACTGCCTAAAATGACAAATCAACAAAATCAAATAAAAGGATGAGTTAAGTATTTGTAACTACAACTTTGTAATAGCAATACATGTAATATTCAATAAAAAAGCAAGTTCATTAAGGCATAAACTTAGGACATGATAAATCTTATCCTTCATGAATCAATTTCGGATCTAAAATTTCACAGAAATTGATGTTAAGTAGAAACTGAAACTGAAAGCTCTAAGTTTTCAGATGAAGCCCACTTGGGTAGAAGAGACAAACATTCAAAACGGCTTTTAAAAAGTAAAGGAACTTGGATCTCCACAAAATAAACTAGCACAAGATACAATATTTATTTTACATGATACAAATATGTCTTTGTTTAGCCTTTTAGTTCCCTTTATCAACAGCCTCAACTGCTATAACAATCTCCTAACCGGTCTCTAGGACTCCAGTTTTATCATACATATGTGTGTGGACACACACACAGACACACACACACACACACACACACACACACACCCTTCATCCTTATTAACATTAGGAGACTTTCAAAAACATAAATCTGACAACAAAAGTCGAGATCATAACATGAAATAGTATGAATATATACCATAAGTTTTTTTAAAAGATCAATAACAGACTATATAAAAGGCTTCTCTTACCAAAAAAAAAAAGCATTCTAAGAGAAAACTAGGCAAAGGTTATGAGCAAGAAATTCCTAAAAGTAGCAACAGCAGTAACAACTGTAACAACTATACTGCATTCTTATTAAGTGCCTGGCAGATAGTAAGATACTGCCAGGCAGCAAATACTGTGCTAATAAGCACTTTACCCTGCCTTACCACATGACACTCTAAGGTAGGCATCATTATGAATCCTACACCGCGATAAAAAAGAGGCTTAGAGATTTTACGCAACTTGTCCACAGGCATAAAGCTAATAAACAGCAAAGACAGTTTTCAAATCCAGACAGTCTTGACTCCACAGCCCACAATTTTAATTACTATTTTATAAAAATGATGACTAAAGACATGAAAAAGGACTTCCAGTTACCGATGGCAGATGGAACATATGCTTTTACCTCCATTTCCCCTAAAACCCCACTAAAATAGCAACTATAGGGATTCTTGAAATCCCCTCCTCAAAGCAAATGGTGGTTCCTAAGGAGAGGTGGGGTTAAAAACAAGGGAGCTGAGTAAAGGAAGTCAAATCCCTGAAAGTTGAAGGGACATGCATGTGTGTAGCAGAGCCGGGTGCAGGGTGGAAAACCAAACCCTCATTCTCCAAAGCAGGAAACCAATAGAAATGCCAAAAACGGAAGATGCATGAAGCAGCAATACTGGCATGTTACCTAGCGCAATGGAGGCACACAGGAAAAGAATCAGCCAGGGCAGTGGAGAGTGCTTACTTCTATGGAGCAGGCAGTGAAAAATACAGGAGTCTGCTATTTTCAAAATAAGACTTACAGATTGCTGAATCTTTAAGCCAAATATAGGTCTGATAAAAATAAAATCTAAAATGAAAAACCAAGACATAGAAAAAAAAAATCAACTTCATTAGTAACTAAAGAAATCCAAGTTTCAAAATATCACTTTGCACCTATTCAGACTAACCAAAAAATGCACTGATAATACTCAATGTTGACAACAATGGTGACATTGCAGTTCCTTATAATGAAGATAAACATATAAATGTATAAAATCTTTCTGGAAAGTAATTTGATAATATGTGTAAAAAAATCTGAAAACAGACATATCCTTACCCAGCACTACTGCTTCTACAGATTTATGCCAATGAGATCATCAAACAAGCGCAAGGTTGTTTATAATAGTAAAAACAACAGAGTGGGAAGTTGTAAATTTGTAAAAGCTTATTTGGGAAAAAAATGTTTGTGTTACTGCTTTTCCCAGTTAAACTACAAAATGTGAATATGCTTTCCTTTGGGGGATGTGTGAATAACTAAACAGAATGATTCAATAAAATAAAAATACAGATGAGTTGTTCAGATTTTCACCATGAATTAATGCAAACAGAAGTCTGAGATAATCAACTCAATGATATACATATTCACTACCCTATTTTAGACTTACAAGCCTTTGTCAGTTCCTTTTTCCCTCTTCTGCTGTCCAATTTTAAAACATGATACACATCTACCAAAGCATAGGGAAAGCAAATTAATAGGAATTAAAATCAAGCTGGGTGTGGTGGCTCACTCCTGTAATCCCATGGCAGGCAGATCACTTGAGGCCAGGAGTTTGAGACCAGCCTGGCCAACATGGTGAAACCTAGTCTCTACTAAAAATACAAAAATTAGCTGGGCATAGTGGTGCTTGCCTGTGGTCCCAGCTTAGTCGGGAGGCTGAAGCAGGAGAATCGCTTGAGGCCGGGAGGCAGAGGTTGCAGTGAGCTGAGATCGTGCCACTGCACTCCAGCCTGGGTGACAGAGTAAGACCCTGTCTCAAAAAAAAAAAAAAAAAAAAAAAGAAATTAAATTCAAATTAAGAGAATCTGACTACTTATGAAACTCCATTTCTATTATCAGAACTGCAAAACATGAATTTCTTTAGTAATCAGGCCAAATTCAATAGATGAATGCTTTATTGGAATGTCTTTTATACCAGTCCCTTAATCCTGCTACCAGTCCTAGGCATCACAAGTATACTTCCAACATAACAATGGAAAGTTTAAAAGTGTAAAGGCAAGGACTGGGGTTGAGAGGTGAAGACGCAACATATCCCAAGAAAATGTCATTGTGGCAAACTATAAAATATAAAGCTTTACATAGATCACTGTCGGTCTATAGAGACTTCCAGAAATACTGGACTTCTTATTGGAATTGGATGAAATTGCATCCTGATTTTTTGGGAGAAGTATGATGTACTTTAAAGTGATCAGAACAGTTAACTCTAAATCAAATAAATAAATTCTCAATCTTTAAACTCCCTTAGAAATGTCTTATCCCTGAGTTACCCCATGGGGAGAAAATTTTATAGTATTAATGTATGTATTCTAAAAGCAGAGTGAATTTAAAGCTAAATGCATTTTAGAAAATATAGCCAAATCTGTTTCTCTGAGGAAACTAAATGAAAATGTTAATCTTTGCCAATATTCAGTTTAGAGACATTATTTTAAAATCTGCATTGCAAGGCAAACAGTAAGAAGCAGGAGCCTTATGTAGGGTTTGCTATAGTTAAATTATGGCTCATACTATCTGGTCTGAAGTTTATTAAGAATTACACTAGAATACTTCCTTTGGTTTCATTCTGATTACTTATTTAGAAATTCTGTTGAAAGAACCAACCGTGTGCCCCAAAACAGTGACTGCAAACGATTATCAACAGCTGTCTTGTGTCTGTGTGCACATGTGAACAAAGTTCCAGGCACCTATAAACAACGGCAGCTGTGTTGGTTGGTACTTATGTCACATCATTATCAAATAAAAATTTAATCAGGACATTATCCCAAAAATTCACACCGCATGTTTATGCTCTCGTTGCATGACAAATCCATAAATAAAAGTTTATTTGGAAAAATGTGGTTTGAAATACAATACCACTTGTTGCCAAAATATTACAGTAATTAAAGAGTAATCAGTGTTAAAATAATTGTAGCTGAAGAAAAAGTTCCTATTATTAAAAATAAAACCATGTGCAGAAATATGTAGATCAACTACTTTATTTTTTTTCTTTTTTTCTTTTTGAGACCGAGTCTCACTCTGTTGCCCAGGCTGGAGTGCAGTGGTATGATCTCAGCTCACTGCAACCTCCACCTCCCAGGTTCAAGCAACTCTCCTGCCTCAGCCTCCGGAGTAGCTGGGACTACAGGTGTGAGCCACCCGCCTAATTTTTGTATTTTTAGTAGAGATGAGGTTTCACCATGTTGGCCAGGCTGGTCTCAAGCTCTTGACCTCAGGTGATCCACCCACCTCAGCCTCCCAAAGTGCTGAGATTACAGGAGTGAGCCACCGCACCCGCTTAGATTAACTACTTTAAATATCAGTCCTCTCATTTCACCAGGATGTTTGTTTAAAAAAAAAAAAAAAACTACATTATCCAAGCCAAATTAAATCAAATTATTTTTATGATTTTTTTTATCTAATGTAACAAAGTTTCAAAGTAAAAGAGGCATATTTTAAGCAATAAGGATCAGAAGATATTTGGATACTCAAGTGTGTAGGAAATACTCAAGTATACAGGAAAATATCTCAGCACAATTTATAGAAGAAAATGACAACTCCACATTTTTAAGAAGCATTTTAAAAATTGACAACTATACAATTCTAAGATGACCTGTTTTTCCATTTAATCTGCCAAGAACTTCTAAGAATCCAGTACCCTCCTGAATTATATGCTTTAAAAGCAGGTATTGTATCTTAATGTCACTAAATTAGCACCAAACTGCAATGAAAAATTCATACAAAGTTACTAAGGTTCATTTCCAATAAAATAAAATTTACAGCAGACCATTTTTCCTAGAGTACATTTTGACAGATGAACGTTAAAAATATAAACAACATCAATTTTAAAAGTACTTTACCCTTTGTGAGATAATCAGTCTGGCCTTGGGAATTAACAACAGCTTCAGTCCTCATAGAGTAACTTATCTATTCCAAGATTTCATTATTATTTTATAGTTCTCGAACACACCAAGAGTGCTGCCCGGCGGTACCTCACACATTCTGCAACTAACTAAAACAAAGAAAGGCAGAGGCAGCTCTACTTTAAACTATCTGTGAAACAAGCACAAGAAGAAAAAGTTTGAGATGCACTCTGTCTTCTTCTAAGGGAGAAAAAAACCTTGCTGTGGTTACACAGACTATATATTTTCAAACAAAGCTGATCATTGTTGAGGGTGAAAACACGGCTTTCAGGCTACATCCCAACTATGAGGCACACCAGCCTACACCAGCATTCCATCCGCTAACAAACAGCGGCTTGAAAGAAGCAGCTTCATAATGTGCCTTCATCTTGTGTCTCGATATTAGCCACTTTCTTATTTCTTATTAAAAATAAAACTTGTCACAGAGCAACAAAAAAATTTTTATTTAAAACATTAAAGCTAACCAGAAATGCTCCTCTCCTCAAATACATTTTATATCTTAATGTAATTTTTAATAATAATTCTTAATGTGAAAATTGTAGCCTCTGTTTCAGCCCGTTTCAGACAGGAAGCAAAATACATGCTAAAGTAGTGGTTTTGGACGTTTTTAACAAACCACACACACATACAAGTAAAACAAATGTCTCATGAAACAATATGTACTACAAGTACTGTAAGATGGCACTACAAATTTTTCCATTCTGTTTTATTTACTCCTTCCTTCTTCCCTTCATTGTTTCTCCCTTTCTCTTAAATGGGTAAAATCTACAATTTGCAACCATTTTGCAAAAGTAACATCCCTGTTAGAGGCATGCCTATGGACATTAATTACACTTAACTGGACACTAATAAATTAAGTTTACGCTCAGCTTAAGCCAGGTGTAACATTCAACTAAAGCAAAAGATCTCAGAAGTTGAGAGGGGGAAAATTTCTCAAGCCATATACCAAGGAATAAGAATTAGACTGGTGCCAAAGTTCTAATCAGCTAGAAGATAATGAAACACTATTTCCAAAGTTAAGAGCAAAAAATTATCATGAACTTGGAATTCTATACCAACCTGAGGAAAAATAAAAAGATTTTTAGATATTACAAGGTGTGGTAAGCTGAAGACTGACCTTCTGCCCTGCCAGGGATGTCCACATCCTAACCCCTGGAATCTGTAAATGTTGCCTCATAATTGCAAAAGTGATTACAGATGTAATTCAGCTAAGGATCTTGAGTTCAGAGATTGCCCTGCATCATGCAAGTGGGTCCAGTGTGGTCACAAGAATCCTTCTGAACAGGAAGCAAGAAGATTAAAGGAAGGAGGAGGCAGTGTGATGGTGGAAGCAAGACATCACCAGCTAAGGAAAGCAGGCAGCCTTTAGAGCAAGAAAAGGCAAGGAAATGGATTTTCCCCTAGTGGCTCCAGAAGGAACCAGCCCTGCTGACTCTGGCCCAGAGAAACTTGATTTCAGACTTCTGACCTCCAGAACCCATTAAATGATACATCTGTGTTGTTTAAGCCACCAAGTTTGTGGTAAGTCATGTGCTGTTACAGCAGCATGAAAACACAGGATTCAAAGTTTACTGCCTATGAAATGTCTCTTTGAAAAAAGAATTTGAGAGTATACTACAGAAAAACAAAACAGCAACAGGAAGAACTGACAAAGACGCTCCTTGACCAAACTTTGGGCAGGCTCCTTTAAGCCCTCTTCTTGACTACCTCAGCCTCTACCTCAGCCTTGTCCTATCTTCAGCCTGCCTAGCCCAGTTGTAGCAAGAATCCTGCTAACTCAATTTAGCAAGAATCCCCCCACTCTCCATGAAATCTGATCATCCTACATATCTGAACAGATTCCTCATCCCCCACCCTTGATATCTGATCACCCTGGCCTGTCTTCAGCAAGAATCCTGTTATGTTGGTTTAGCCAGAATCCCCCTACACTTGATGTCTCTCCTCTTAGTGATTTTCCATCACTGACCTTCTTGCTCTGCCCATTGGCTATCCATCTCCAGTTGTCCTTGCTGCGTGCAGAGTTGAGCCTGACCTCTCCACTGTTTTAACAGTCTTGATACCAACTGCAATGGTCCTGAATAAAGTCCACTTTCCCTTTTTAGCAAGGGTCAGAATAATTCTTTTACACAAAATAAGAAAGAGAGGCAAAAACAGGATCCGTAACATTGCCGCAGGCCAAAATTAGACATTTCCAAATGCCAACTGCGTAGCTGCATAGAGAGCAACCTGTCTACATTAGAATAGGAAACATAAGGTGTCTTAGAAGAGAGTGGATTCTAGGCAACACAAAGATCATGGGTATAGTAGTGATACAGTAAAAGCTTACATATAAAGACATCAAAAAGAGTGTAAGGGGGCTATTAGAAATCTGAAGACAAGCAATTAACAGAGTGAGAAAAGTCAGTCTGACATGACGTAAAATACAAAGGGACATGGCTGTGACCTTGATGGTATATGAGAAAAGTGAATTCATCTGATCTTGACATCTTCAACGTTAGGGATTATGTTTCCTTCCCTACACACCTCATCATAATACTTGAAACTGAAGTAAATGCTATTGACATTATTATGATTATGTAAGAACTGCATTGGCTATTAATGTTCACAATAAAATATAGACAATGTCTAAAACTGAACCCTGATCTGCACACACACTCCCCACTCCAAACCTAAGCCCCCACTTTCTAGAAGCAATCATTGTTAGCTGCCAAAAATATTCTCCACACTATTCAAGAATCTGCATGTATTCATGAACACCCACAAATATTTAATCTCCCATTTTATTCAAAAACTAGAATCATTCTAAAATCGACACCTCTTTTTCACTTAACAGTACATCATGGAGACCGTATAGGTTAACATCTATAGATCTGCCCGGCAGTGCCCCTAAAGGTTAACAACCATTTCTGGGGGAAGAGGCAGAGGCAATGGGCCCTGTTTGTGGCATCTGCAGATTTCCATGTGGCAAATACTCAAGCTATGGTGGCCAGTTTCCAAGCTGCCAAAGTGATGTCACTGAGTGCAGTTTCTCCAGTACCCCAGTGGGTCTACCTCAACCTTTTCCACAGATTTACAGCACCCTAAAGTATTAGTATAATTTATTCAACCAGCCCTTCTCTGTGGGAATGAACTAAGAGAAACTTAGAGAATGGATCAACTTGCAGTGGGAGTTAAAGACGAAGCACCATGCAATAAAGAGCTTAATAGGCAATGATGACCAAAGGCAAGCTGAAAAAATGAGGAAGCAAAAACTACCAGTAAGCAGGGAAAAGTAGCTGGTACAGAGAAGGAAACAGCACCTGAGATGCAGAGCAAAGCAGTCACCACAAGAGACCTTTTAGCCCAAAAGAGACTGAATAGCCCACCCCAAAGCTGCTTCATGCTTCAGTTCCTGATGGCTTTCATTTCTAGTATAACGAATTCAGACAGCAAATGCTCTTTTTTCCTTACAATAATCTGAATAAGTTATTTGTGTCTTTCAACCAAATTCACTGGCGCCTCTTAGTTACGTTTTTAGTTGTGACCACTTTCTCACTGAACCATGGACTAAGATACATCAAGAAAAAAGATTATTTTTAAATGTTGAAATCTTAGTAAACGTATTTGTGATCACTTCCTCACTGTACCACAGATTAAGATATATTAAGAATAAAGATTATTTTACATGTGGAAATCTTAATAAACACCATTGATAAAAATGCCATTATAATTTTGCCATGCTCTAGATCCAAGGCTGGAAGGAATGCTCAGAGGAGGAATGAGCAGTGAAGCAGATTAACATCAAAGCACAACTAAAAACACAAAAAATAAAGGAAGGTACATCTGCAACAAGAGTCTGAAATACCACTTATTTTGACTGGTCACTCTGGTCAAGATGAAATATGGGAACCTAAAGGCTACATACACCAGCTCTCCCCCTAAAACATCTTGTTCTGAAATAGCACCCTGGGAAAGCCTAAGCCACCCTACCACTGGTGGTCCTGTAGGAAGAACTGTTCCAGTACCTCCTCTTGACCCTTTTATTTCCCTTTATTGGGAGATCATCTAGAATCCTAAGAAAAATAGCTCAGAGCAGTCTGAGCTCTGTGAGGTCCACAAAATCTATCAGGCCCAGAGAGATGTGCATATGGGACTTCAGTTATGGATCCTCCCATGCCTGGGGAAAACTGTTTAAGAGCATTTTGTGCCTGGCTAGCTGCCTCCCCCATTATCTTCATGTTCTTGGAATTTGTGATACAAAGAACAAGGTTTAGACAATCAATAGCTTATGTTATTTTGATGTAAATTCTTGGTAAAATCTTAGAAACAGTCCCTTCTTTTTTCCTTAAAAACCCGCTTGTAACTGCTGCTAATTGGAGTGTATATTCAGGACAATGTCAATCTATGCACCCAGGTGGCCATCCTCAAGCTCTGGACTCAAATTAACTCTACTTAATCATATTTCCATTATTTAAGGTTGACAATCCAATCCTATACTTCCCCGCGGTCCAACCCAATCCCACTTGCATCTCCCATAACTACATTAATTCCACATTAAACAAATGCCTTTTCAAAAACTGCACAACTTCAAAAACCCATTTATCTCCATCTTGCTCCCCCTATTAGCATATAATCTTAGAAAAATCATTTGGCTTCCTTTCCTCTTTCTTATGTTTACTTGGGAACAACAAGAAAAGAGACAGGTCATAGCCACAATTATAGAACAGTATAAGTAATCACCATCAAGGAAAGGGACAGCCAGTGAAAGCAAGATATGTGAAAGACCCAGTGCCATCAACCCACAAAGTCCTCAGAAATGCCCAGATTTTCTCTTCAGAAGAGCCACACAAGTTCCATACATATCTTCATATTCCTCCAGGTTTTGTTTTTGGGGGATTTTGTTTGTTTTGAGACAAGGTCTCACTCTGCCGCCCAGACTGGAGTGCAGTGGCACGATCACAGTTCACTGCAGCGTCAATCTCCCAGGTGATCCTCCCACCTCAGCCTCCTGAGTCCTAAGTAGCTGGGACTACAGGCGCATGCTACCCTGTCTAGCTAATACTTGTATTTTTTGTCGAGACGGGATTTTGCCATGTTGCCCTGGCTGGTCTCGAACTCCTGGGCTGGGGCAATCCACCCACCTTGGCCTCCCAAAGTGCTACGATTATAGGCATGAGCCACAAAGCCCGGCCTACTCCTCTAGTTTAAGTATGCATTATCTGATACAATCAAAGTGTTCAAAAGAAATAAGCCTAAATGTTCTTCAATTTTAACTTTTCATTATCAGCACAAATATGATTTATACCTTCCCATTCAAAATATTTCTCGTATCACCAATAGCATTATTACCATTATTTCCACTGTATCATGCTTCAAATTAATACTTTTTTATTTTTTCATTAAATTTGCAGAATACACTCTTCAAACAAATTCTATAAATGCCCAGTTGCCAAGCAAGTAGGGTCAGTGGGGCTGGGGAGGATGCAGCAAAGCTCTGCTAGCTTGGCCTCCCCTTTCCCTATGGTGAGCACTGCCGGGGTGGAAGGACCAGGCACACACACTGCACCTGCTGGCCTCTGGGTGTGCCCACTTGTAATGCTATTGCCCAAATGATTTCCCTTCCCGTCAGCTTCCCAGCTGCCACCTCAGCCTCCCTTCAAGGAGTCCCCTTGATTCTCCATGGCTTGCCCCTGATTCTGCAAATAAAAAGATCAACAGTGTCGATATAATTGGTAGGTTGCTTGTTTTGTTTTTGTAAGCACATGTTTTTAAGATCATTGGGAAGAGGACAAATTGCCAATATTTTATACATAGAGCACCTTGCGTCAGGTAGATATTTAATATTTCTATAACTAGTAAAATATTTAAATTATGGTTTTAATTAAGTTAAAATTTTTTCTCACACCAAGTCCTGGGTCAGCTTCTATTATTTGCTTCCTAATTTCTAGAAAGATAGGAAACAAAATAATTTTTAAAGTCCTAGAAACAAATGCTGACAAGATTTTATTATAACAGAGAAGCCTTTTTTTTTCTCAAATTTAATCAAAACTAGAATTGTAAGCTGCTTAGATATGCTCCACCTTACCACTGCCCATTGCTAGTAAGGCAGAACTGGCCACTGCTGCTTCTGACCTACTGTATTTCCACATCTGTTACCTGTAATTCTTTACTGAATATATGTATTACATGTCTCTTCTACTGAACTATGATCTCCATGAAAAGAGGACAGTTTCTCATCCATCCTGGTGTCTCTGGTATCTATCAGTGCCTAACCCATGGTAGATGCTCATTAAATATTTCTTGAAAAGCATAAAAAGTTACTAAAAATTAATTACTAAAGTGAATTATCCAACCAATTAAAAATTTAATATATCAACGTATGCTGAAAATCAGACTCACAAGCTAATTTCCATATACACCTTCATTACAAAAAAAGTATACTTTTGCTAAAGATTCTTAGCTTTCTCTTATATATTTATTCCATTTATTCTATTTCAAGATAGCATTTAAATTTTTATGAAGACTAAAATTCAGACATGAGAAGTCACAATCTAGTTACCTAAATTTGTACTTCTGGTTATCTAAAAGTCCTTCACCTGCATTTTAAATAACATAGGGGGCTCCGGGAAGATGAAGTGCTCGAGAGACTCATCTGCTGTGTTTGTGCTCCAACCCTCTCTTCACTCTGCTCTTCATCTCTCCTACTCGCAGAGCTGCACAGGCTCCCTTTCGTTGTGGAAAGGCTCTGCTCATGTGGCTGGGTGTGCTTCCATCACGCTTCAAGTCACGTGGAGGAAATGCAGCGAGGGCAGCGCTCCTGAACTCTCCCACTCTCCTCTCCAAGGGGCAGAAGGACATGTGGGGTCAATGGTCTGAAAGAAGCACCTGGGCAAGACAGGCTCACCTCCTGCTCTCTCTCAGCCCCTGTCCCTGGGTGCAGCCTTCTGTCCCTGAGTGTCCCCTGGTCTGGTCTCTCTAATGGGCTCTCCATGCAGGAAGGTGCCTGCTCTTTGAGGCCCAGGCTTGTTGGCTGTGTCAGTCACCCAGTGGGCAGGTCTAAGTCAAGCAGGCTAATAAGCCCTTTTCACTCCAGATCTGATGCCATGTCCTCCAATCAGTCAACAGAGGAGACAATTTGATCTCCATCTGGCAGTCTCCTGCGCCTTACTTCTCAAGGAAAAGAAACAGTATCACTTAGTGACTCCCTGGAACCCACCAAATCAGACTAGTAACTCCTACATTTATGTGTAAGATGAGTCACAGCTTAAAAGGATATGAAGTGATGTAACAATATTTAAATACCATTACTACTGAAGAGAAACATAATTACTAGCTGTTGCATATGAGTGCAATCCCACATTTGGGGACAGGGTTGAATGACAAAATTGCCAACAACAGATATTTAGAACCAAGACAAACATATGAGTCACTTTACTCACTTCAACCCGCCTACAGTTGCTGACAAAGTCAAGATTATATTTTAGCTGCTTTTGCAGCAGTATGATTGTTTTAACAGATGACACAAGACTGGTTTGTAACAACTCCTTGCTTGTGGATATTTTATAAACTGTTTATTGAGAGGTTACTATGTGCCAGACACTGTGCTGAGCATTTAACATGCATAATCTCACTTAAACCTCACAAAAGCCTATGTTAGTTTTTATGACTATCTCCACTTTACATATGTGGAGACTGAGGCGTGGAAATGTTAAGTAATTCAGGCCATATGGGAAGTAAGAGACAGGGCAGGACTTAAAAGCCAGGCTGTCCAATTTCAACTTCAAAGCCATGTTTCTAACCATCAAGTGCTTTTGTTGAAGTGTAAGTATTAATAGTTGATCTTATACATTTCTGCTCACTTCTGCTAGTCCTTACATTTCTTCCCACAGAAACAAATCTATGTGATTCCTGTGAATTCTAACAGCTGTACTTTCTGGATTCTAGTAGCCCTCCAATCTCATTACATGAAATTGTCAATTATTTGTGCAAAATGGAGATGAATGGTATTCTGAAGAATCCAAGAACAATTTATATGAAATATTCTTTGTGGTCATAATCAACTGGACCTGCTATATTATGTTTTAAGTTGTGTGTTTTAGGATAATAACAAGAAATGATCTGGAAACATGTAAAAATTTGACACAATAATCATCAAATGACACTGAACTTTACTAAAACACTTTATCCTTTTAGTATTACTAAAGCAACTGCCTTCATGATTAATTCCCATGACTACAGAAAGGGCTCTATTGAATCTACTTCATTCACTTAGTTTTAAGAACTTCTTTCCCAGCTCATTCAGAATTGCAAGTATGTGCAGTTATATGCACTACAATAAAAGTTTGTGTTGAATTTGGCCCATAGGTATTAACAAGAAATGTTCTAATTACAGCAAATTCTTGCAGACCAGATATAAGAAGATAATTCATAGACTGCCCACTCTGATGCTTAATAACTAATTCCACAGGCAGTGGTAACGATCAACCCAATGGTAACATTTCTACCCTTTAAATAAAAAATAATGTGCAAAAGCCAAACTGTGCCTAAAATGACACTCAAAAACAAGAACGAGGTATTGCCTAGAACAACTGAGAAGCACACAGGAAGAACTATGTTATCATCCTTTGAGTTATGTAAGTATTACTGGGTCCCTGAATGGCCCTTGGGTTCAAATTTGACCATAAGGCCATCAAAAGCCAGCAATTTGGTAACACTGAATGGGATTTAATAAATAAAAGTGCTCATATCACACTAAAAGTGTCACTCATTCAATCATTTTTGTAAGGTACCCTAAGCTCCAAGCACAGTACCACAGAATTCTCACAAGACACAGCTGCAATCCACACATTTCACCTAACAAATCCTGAACTGCGTTATATGTATCTCATGTGTGCATGTGTTTAATATTATATTCCTTAAACTCTGTTACTGTTATTGTGCTAATAATGTTGTGTTAGGATAACTTATATAATAAGTAAGATTTATTTTATATAACAAACATCAATAGTGCCATATATATATATATATATATATATATATATATATATATATATATATGTATGTCACTCTTCAGGAGACCAGATGAATTAAGTAGCAACTAAGAACCTGAGTGATAAGCAGTAACCAGCATTTATTCTGTACAATCCAAATGCTTTATGTATATTACCTCATTTAGTCTCCCCACATCAAAACTACGAGGTAGGTATCATTATTGCCCATTAAACAAATGAGAAAATTGGTAGGTTAACTGCAAAGATCACACAGTTCTTAAGTTAGAGAAGTGGCACTTGGAACAATGCAAGAAGGCTTTGAATAAATAAAATCGCAAGCAAATGAACAAAGGCTTAACAAGAGAATCTGTCAACAAGGATCCTCTAGCATTAAATAAGGGCAAGAGGCAAGGAAATGCCTTCAAGTCAATAGAAAGCCGTAAGTGTTTTTCACTGTGAGACAGAGCAACCTCCCTAGATGTGCACAGATCTTAAATAATGGATTTCACCAGAACTGAGCCATCTGAAGCCTAAAGTTACTCCAATATCAAGCAATAAATCATCTACCTACTGTGGAAAACAAAACAAAATTAAACAAGAAAAGCCACAGACAGAAAAGACACTGGAATGAAATGCACTAAAGACAGATGACACTGACACTATAAGTTAGAAAAAAATTTTTTTTAATTTTCCAAATACATTTTACCTTTTCTATAACATAGTACGGTGACTAGAAAGGAAAACTTGCTCCTCGGTATTCTTATAAGGTTTTAGATGGAAAGCTGTAGGACAATTTTTAAAGCAAATTATATAATCAAATAATTCTGCCCTATCTCTATGGATACCTGAAAGTTCCACTTGGAATACCGACTGGCCAATCATTAAGTGAATGACAATCAGATGAAGAATATAAAGACCAGCTTTTCCTTGGAGAAATGAGATGAATTAAACTTTCTAATATTCATTAATTCAGAAAGTACTGAACACCATTTACTGCCACTGCACCTAGCTATCACGTAATACAAAGACAGATAAAACAGTTCCTCAAAAAGATCACATTCCTGAGGGAATCAGACACATAAAGACCAACTGTAAATAATGTGAAAAATGCTCTTTAATAGATGTTTTTTAAATGCTACAAAAAAGCTGATAGAAAAAAAGCAAAGTCAGAAAAAAGTTTTAGGTACAAAACAACGTTTGATCCAGGTCCTAAAATAGCATGGTAGAGGCTGGGCACAGTGGCTCATGCCTGTAATCCCAGCACTTTGGGAGGCCGAGGCAGGTAGATCACCTAAGGCCAGGAGTTTGAGACCAGCATGGCCAACACAGCGAAATCCCATGTCTACTAAAAATACAAAAGTTAGCCAGGCATGGTGATGGGTGCCTGTAGTGCCAGCTAGTCAGGAGGCAGAGGCAGGAGAATTGCCTGAACCCGGGAGACAGAGTTTGCAAGGAGCTGAGATCAGGCCACTGCACTCCAGCCTGGACGACAGGATGTGACTCTGCCTCAAAAAACAGTAATAATAAAACAAAAGCATGGTAGAAACTCACCATGTGGACAAGGAGAGAAAGCTGCAATGTTACAATAAAAAGTCAGAGACCCCCAGCAACAGGAATGGCTATTTGAACAGCAGCAGCTGCGTCGACAGTAACGTGGGGTAGGAAAGACAGGGCCCCGAGCTTCTAACATGTCTCCGTCACCTCCTTTTTCACAATACTCACCCCTCACAACTGGGTAATCTACCGCAGGAGCAGAAGTATATATAGGAAAACAAGAAAAATATTTAGGGATTAGAAATTAGTGTGAGGTCATCAAGAAAGCTAAATAACTTAGTAAAAATTTAATTAATATTTTGATACTACTAACGTATCATTATTACCTGGGTATTCAATCATTATTACCTAGGTCATTCATATTTGAATGACCAAAATAAGGGTAACTGTAAGCCTTTTTAACTATGCAAATTTTACTCAAAAAGCAAATTTTAAAACCAAATCTAATCACATCCAAATATATATTTCTTCAATATTAAGAAACATCTATATAACTGGCCGGGAGCAGTGGCTCACACCTGTAATCCCAGCACTTTGGGAGGCCAAGACAGGGGGATCACAAGGTCAGGAGATCGAGGTCATCCTGGCTAACACGGTGAAACCCCGTCTCTACTAAAAAACACAAAAAATTAGCCAGGCATGGTGGCAGGCGCCTGTACTCCCAGCTACTTGGGAGGCTGAAGCAGGAGAATGGTTTGTACCCAGGAGGCAGAGCTTGCAGTGAGCTGAGATCACGCCACTGCACTCCAGCCTGGGTGACAGAGTGAGACTCCATCTCAAAAAATAAAAAAGAAAAAAAGAAAAAAAAAGAAACATCTATATAATCTACCATATATATATTATCTTCCTAATAGGGAATATATTCGAGAAAAATAACAGTAGTAGAATGTAAATTTCCAGAGAAACTTGCACAATCACGTTCCAGATATTAAAAGAAACAATACTCTTAAACACAACTGATCCATGAGAAAAAGGGAAAGGGGCTACTGCTACTAGGCTCCAGGTAACATCTTGTCTGGGGATCCTGAAAAATATTTAGGTTTTTTTTTTTTTTTTTTTTTTTTTTTGAGATGGAGTCTCGCTGTGTCACCAGGATGGAGTGCAGTGGCGCAGTCTCGGCTCACTGCAACCTCCGCCTCCTGGGTTCATACCATTCTCCTGCCTCAGCCTCCCGAGTAGCTGGAACTACTGGTGCTTGCTACCACGCCCGGCTATTTTTTTGTATTTTTAGTAGAGACAGAGTTTCACCGTGTTAGCCAGGGTGGTCTCGATCTCCTGACCTCGTGATCCACCTGCCTCGGCCTCCCAAAGTGTTGGGATTACAGGCGTGAGCCACCATGCCCGGCCCAATATTTAGGTTTCTTTACGGTAGCCCAACCAAATGTTCCACCCTCAATTCACCTGGCCAAAACCTTAAACACAATGTTCAATCAGACCATAAATGGATTTTTTACATAGCAGTCAAAGAGTTAAACTCTATGAAGAAGTCACAAGTGTGGGGTGGGGGAGGGGAGCCTTGTCCCCAATGCTGCCCTTGATGAATTATGTCAATTTCCACATAAAATACCAACTCCAAGGAGACTGACTATAAAAACATTTTACATGAAAGATCTGCCATCCTTCTCACTGTGGAAAATATTTCCTAGAAAGCACTGTCTTGAAGTCATTCAGTAAACTACCTGAACTTATAGAATGCATTTATAACAGTAATCTAAATTTTCTCTCTTTTCTTTTTTTTTTTAAGACAGAATTTCGCTCTTGTCGCACAGGCTGGAGTGCAGTTGCACGATCTCGGCTCACTGCAACCTCATCCTCCTGGGTTCAAGCAATTCTCCTGCCTCAGCCTCCCGAGTAGCTGGGATTACAGGTGCCTGCCACCACACCTGGCCAACCTTTTGTATTTTCAGTAGAGACGGGGTTTTGCCCCGTTGGGCAGGCTGGTCTCAAACTCCTTACCTCACGTGATCCACCCGCCTCGGCCTCCCAAAGTGCTGGGATTACAGGTGTGAGCCACCACGCCTGGCCAGTAATCTAAATTTTCTAAGTAGATAAGCAGGACCAACTTCACAATGCAGCAATAAAAGACCAAAAACAACATAAAAGCCCATCAATTCAGTTATTAAAAATCATGAAGCAAAATTATATGTACTGATTTGGATTCGTCCCCAAGATATACTGTAAGCAAAAACAAAACAAAAAACACAGGGCAAGGCTCAGAATAGTTACACACAGTTAACAGTGGTTGTCCTGGGGAGATTAAATCTAGGTGAACAGAAAGGACACTTATTTTTCACTCTTTAGTACATCCTGAACTTTTTGTTATGTACACATACCACCTTGTCAGAATACAAACATAAATTTTTAAACAATTGTAAATATAATTAACATTAGCCAAAAAAATCCCTCCTAAGGAAAAGACCACTGCAACACAGCTTCTCCCACACAGGCAAACCCTCCCCTCTCTGCCCCACCCTCCCTCAGCCTCCAGTGATCTGACAGCCAGGAGGATTTGGGGTAAGGTCCCCTCAGCCTTTCTGGGGAGAATGTCCTCTAGCTTCTTCACTGCTCTAAAAGAAAAGTAATCCAAAGAGCTAATACTTCTCTCCTGTGGCCAAAAGAAAACTAATTAACACTTTCTTCCCCAGCAGGCCATGCAAGCAGGGGTGCTGAGCAGAAAGAGGTGAAGCTGCCGTGTTCCACCTTCTCTACGCGTGAACAGCAGACCAGCCCAGAGAAACATATCCTTTACCACCGCAGTCATCTGTAAAAGGGTCAGCATTTTGCTGAGAGCTGCAAAACTTAAAGGATAATACAAACGCTAAAGGCATTATACTTTATGCTTTTCAGAACTGGCTCAAATATCTTGAAAATATAAATACAAGTAACAAAAATTTACAGGAGAACCTGCCTCAGTAGGCCATACTACAACTTTCCTGATCAATGTACCTACCAGATGAGATTTTTTTATTTCTAACAAATCTGGACTGTTTTGAAATGAATGTCTTGTAGGACTTTCATGTATTTTGTTTTTAAAAATGCTTGTAAAGCCTCTTAGAGGGTATCTTCTCCTGTGAACTTGTATTTGCATATGACACTGATCTTGTTGACTATAGTTTTGCCAACCACACTTTGGCCAATAGTCCTTTCAAGAACATAACTTCCAAGGTTAGTGAGGGATTAACATACACAAAAGACTTTAATAAACTTACTGACAAACAGCTTACATTACTATCCTTGTGAACAGTAAATTACTTTAATTGACGATTTTTAATACCATTGATCTGGTAGATCCTTTGCTTTCCAGTAAAACCATCAATGCTTTACAATTTCACAAACTCTCTATGTGCAAGGCTCTTTTTAAGTACTGAGAAACAGTTTATCAAGACAAGATATGCCTTCAAGATGCTTATAACCTTGCAAATGAATTTTTAAATCCTTACCATAAGAGATGTGTTCACCACAGGACCATACCAGCAGTGAGAGAAAGGTAAACTATAAACTGTTTCTAACATGAATAGAAAACTAAAGAGAAGTTAATGACTTAATTAGAAAAGGTGATTATCTGAAGTAAGGGTAGAATTTCAGCAAGATCATTCTTTGTTTATTGTAATATTATAAATAAGAGACAATTTGGATTTTTCTTTATTTTATTTTTTCAGACGGAGTCTTGATCTGTCGCCCAGGCTGGAGTGAAGTGGCACGATCTAGGTTCACCGCAACCTCCGCCTCCCAGGTTCAAGCAATTCTTCTGCCTCAGCCTCCCAAGTAGCTGGGACTACAGGTGCCCGCCACCATGTCCGGCTAATTGTTGTTGTTGTTGTTGTTGTTGTTTTTAGTAGAGAAGGGGTTTCATCATATTGCCCAGACTGGTCTCAAACGCCTGACCTCATGATCCGCCCAGCCAGGCCTCCCAAAGCAATTTGGATTTTTCTTATAGGACTTGCCTTCAGTTGGCTTTCTGTTCTTCTACAAATCTAAGCACATCTAGAAATCAGAAGCTTAAACTGCCTGGCAAGTATGATGGAATGCAAACAGAAACCAAAGTTAATTGCCTACTTCCTTTTAAACACTATCAAGCAAAAATCTTTTGGAAAATGTGGTTTCTTTATTGATATACGCTTTAGAAACAACTTTTCTAACAAATAATGTCTGGAATGTGTGGATATCTGTAAACACATGCAAACTTTAATTTTCCCCAAATCGACAGCCAATAATTTCATAATCTGATTCATTTAACAAATCAATACTATTTCACAAAATTATTCCATATACCATTAACTTTACTTCATTTTTGTTTTCATCTGATTCAACAGAATTCCTAATAACTTCTTTACTACTTATTATTGATGTAAACTTGGGCAAGTCACAACCTGCACAAGTTTCAGTCTCATAATCTATAAAAGAAAAACAATGATGACAACACAATAAGAGCGTGAACTCACAGGGGCTCAATGTCCACTAAGTCAGGCACTGTTTGGAGCAGGTTGGAGTGTTCTAAGCATATTTTCTCAAGCATATTGTCATACGTAAACTCAAACAACCCTATGGTGTAGTCACTATTATCGCTGCCAAATTACAGATGAGGAAAGGGAGGCGCTCTGAAGTTTCCAAATGTCTCACAGCAGGCGGCAGAGCGGGATGTGAACACAGTTGGGATCCAGAACCCATTCTCAAAATCATTACACTACAGCTGCCTGATAATTATAAAATATTTCCTGCCCAGCTCATAAAATTCTTGTGAAGATCACATTTAATCAAGCTCATAAAGCATTTTAAAACTTTTTTTTTTTTTTTTTGAGACAGTCTCACTCTGTCGCCCACGCTGAAGTGCAGTGGCACGATCTCAGCTCACTGCAAGCTCCGCCTCCCGGGGTTCACGCCATTCTCCTGCCTCAGCCTCCCGAGTAGCTGGGACTACAGGCATCCGCCATCACGCCCAGCTAATTTTTTGTATTTTTAGTAGAGACGGGGTGTCACCGTGTTATCCAGGATGGTCTCGATCTCCTGACCTCGTGATCCGCCCGCCTTGGCCTCCCCAAAGTGCTAGGATTACAGGCATGAGCCACTGCACCCAGCCAAAACTTTAAAGTGCTATATAAATACAAGGCATTTGTTAGGAGTAAAGTCTTGAGGACAAAACGGACTGGATTTTTAAAAAGTTAAAGTTAAAAATTAATTTTAAAAATTAATTCTTAAAAAGTTAAAAAATTGGAAGGAAACTTAAAGCTCAACCTCTCACAAATGATGATATCCCCTCGATAACATCTCTTAATAAGTGATCACTCAATTTCTCCTTAAGGCTTCCAGAAATGAAAATCTCACAAGTCAGCCCATTCCAGCTTGAAGTGTTCTAATTATTAATAGAAATGTCTTCCTTTTAGTTCTAAACAAAATTAGGCTTTTCCACATGAGAGGCCTGTAAATACAAAACTCTGACATATTCACACTGTCTAACACATGACATTTACTAAAGTCCCCTTTGAAATTTGATGCCCCAAATTCAACATGATACCCCGGAAAAGGTTTGGTGGGAGAACAGCAGCACTATTACCTCCTTTGATCTGCAAACAAATATCCACTTTTATTTTCTGGCTGTTAAGTCAATTTAATGGGTTCTTATTAGCACATACTTAATTAAAATATCTCAGACCTCTCTTAGAAGCTTTCTCAATCTCAATACAGAGCTTGACATTTTATTATTTTTAATTAACTCATTTTCCATTTTGGTCCATGACTATCCTATAAAGATCTTTGTAAATCTTAATTTCATAACCTTACTTTAGCTATCTCTATCAACTTTGTACCTATCTCCTTCCCTTCATAAATCCAACAATTGTAACTAAATTTTCACCCTAGCCACTGAAAAACTGCTGAATAAGCTAAGATCCTAGGACCCACTGGCAAAGACTTTCATTCTGATAAACATCAACA
The DNA here is from genome assembly GCF_000001405.40 of Homo sapiens. NCBI lineage: Eukaryota > Metazoa > Chordata > Mammalia > Primates > Hominidae > Homo > Homo sapiens. The sequence goes on from NC_000010.11 coordinate 11,548,695, forward strand.
AATTAATTTAACTATGGTCTATCAATCAATTATAAAATCTATATATGACCTATATCCTCCAACCATCATTTGTTCTTCTAGTCTATGGTAGGATCATAGAAGACATGTATACCTTTCTAACACTCAAATAAAACTTATCTCCAACATTTCTTTAGGTTGCCTGTTAAGTAATAACAAAAAAAGGAAGTTGTATTAGTGCTATTATACCCAGAAAAGTCCCTAAAGACCATTATTTCCTTTTAAACCCATTCATAAACCATGATTTAATAAAACTAAGCTCGAATTCTGATTAGGATTAGCATGAAGTCCAATAGTTTCTAGTTACCAGAATCTACCCATGCTTCTCTTCGGAGTCTAGTCTTCTGGTACCTTTTCCATATTTTACTACCCTTAAAAGACTATTAAATTACTCTAAAATAGACAGTCTAAGACAACAGCTCATCTAATCCTAAAGACCTAAATTTAAATGGTTTATTATCTCCTAACCGACCTTGAGCCTCAATGACCTCTCATTTCTGTCCATTCTCTTTTCTGTTCAAAGATAATTTTACGATAAAAAGAACAACAACAACAAAAACAGATGGAAGCAAAAGAGTCCAGGACATACATGCTTTCTTTATGTTTACATTATATGATATGTTCCAAACAGCAGGCCTATCTAGTTATTATTGATCTGTAGAATCCAAAATAAGTTTTTGAAGGTGTTCTATCAGACTCCACACTGTTCACAGATATCAACTCATTCAGTTTTTACTTTTCCTGATGCTATGTTTAAGTATCTACTACTTTTTTCACTCCCTATTGGTGATAAGCCTTTTCTCCCACCTTTCACCCAAACTCTTTTTAAATGTGAACTCAAAGAGCACCCTAAGCAGCTACTTTATTTTATGTATAGTTCTTTATCTTTTCTTTCTCATGAGTATAAGTAGTCACTGTAGATTTTTCTTATATTGATCCAATTTTCCTTTCAGTCTGTGGTAATCAAGCCCACATTTAATATGTTTCTAATTCATTTTCCTAAAGTAAATCACATATCACTAACTGGGTATGAACAATGTTTTTCCTTTACAAGTAGAAATTCTAGGAAGTTACCATCTCTTCTACTTTACCAACACGTACTTCTTTATTAGTTAGAATTAGCCCTGAAAGGCAGTTCCCTTCTTTATTGCCACAACCTCCTAAATTATATAGTACTCAAGAGTGAGATTACAAAACGGATTTATTTATATTTGAATAAGCTCTGTTGTCGGCCTTAGATTCTTGCTGAAAAAAGATGGTTGCAAATGATAGCAAGATTTCATAGGCTCAAAGTTGCCAACATAATTGAAGTGGGGAGAGACAGTCTTGTCAACAAATGGTGCTGAAATAACTAGGTATCTATATGGTATCTATATCTATATTAAACCTTGGCCTTTACCTCAACAGTATTCAAAAATTAACTTGAAATAAACCACGAACATATATGAAAGTGTAAAAACTATTTAGAAGAAAATATAGGAGATAATCTCGATGATACTGGGTTAGCCAAATTTTTTTTAACCAAAAATAGCACAAACTAGAAAAGCTGATAAAAATAGAGCTCATCAAAATTAAAACCTCTTGCTCTTCAAGGGATATAAATAAGAAAATGAAAAAGCAAGACTGGGAGAAAAGCCTGTAAAATATGTATTAGACAGAAGGCTTATATCCAGATTAAAGAATTCTTACAACCCAGTAAGAAGAAAACAAGCAGCCTGTTTTTTGTTTTTTCGGGTTTTGTTTTTTAAAAAAAGCAAAAGAGGCCGAGCACTGTGGCTCACACCTGTAATCCCAGCACTTTGGGAGGCCAAGGTGGGCAGATCACCTGAGGTCAGGAGTTCAAGACCAGCCCAGCCAACATGGTGAAACCCTATCTCTACTAAAAATACAAAAATTAGCCGGGCGTGGTGGCACACACCTGTAGTCCCAACTACTCAGGGAGGCTGAGGCAGAAGACTCACTGGAACCTGGGAGGCGGAGGCTGCAGTGAGCTGAGATCGCGCCACTGCACTCCAGCTGGGCAACAGAGTGAGACTCCGTCTCAAAAAATAAATAAATAAAAACAAAATAATAAAAAAAATTAAAAAAAAAACAGGCAAGAGATTTGAATAGACACTTCACAAAAGACACATGGATATATGAATGGCCAAAAAATACACTAAAAGATGCCCCAAACCACTAATAATTAGAGAAATGTAAATTAAAATCACACTGAGATACCACGACTGAGGTACCACTATGGTCAAAGTTAAAAATACTGAAAACATCAAGTGCTGCTAAGGATATGGAGCATCTAGAACTCTCCTGCAGCATGCGTGAAAATACAAAATGGTACAGCCATGTTAGAAATGAGAGCATGTGTCTTATAAAGTTAGATATAAAATTGTATCATACTGACCAGCAATCTCACTCCTAGGTATCTACGCAAAAGAAACAAAAACATTTATTTATAAAAATTTTTATGTGAAAGTTCATACAGCCCAAAACTAGAAACAACCTAAATATCCATCAATTGGTGAAAAGGTAAGCAAATTTTGGTTAATTCATACTTTGGAATACTATTCAACAACAAAAAGGAAAAAACTGCTGATAACACGAAACAATGCAAATAAAAGAAGTCAAACACAAAAGACCTCATACTGTAGAACTTCATTTATATGAAATGCTAGAAAATGTATGTTTGTTTACTTGTTTATTTTGGTCCACTGAACCGACAGATCAGACCATGTCATTTACCACTGTAACCAGTGCTTAGGACAGTGCCCGACATCTAATTGGTGGCTCAATAAAGTTACTGAAAGACTAACTGAATGAACAAGAATTATCTAGTTTAATCGTAATCACAACCATAGTGATAAAGATACCATCGCAGCGATGAGAAAAATGAGACTTAGAGAGATCAATGTTGGCCCCAGATTACATGGCTACTGAGTGGTGGTGCCACAGATCAAACTCAGGCCTCTCTGACTCTAAGTCCTGTTCACTTAACTATGTTTAACGTCTATATAGTGTAGCAAAGCTCACTGACATTCTACAACTTCAGTTTATTCACCTAGGATCTTAAGTTAATGGTCAGATTCCATCATAAGTTTTAAGGACTATTCAAATTATTTCACTGTAATTTTGTATCAAATTATTCTTTGAAATAGTTGGGGCAGCTCAATTGTTTTGTTAAGCAGAGACAGTTACCAGGCCTGATGGTACTTCCTAAAATGGGCTTTAGTTGGTTAGGTTACAACTAAATTTATAGTACATACCTAAATAGCAGGTGCATATTTCCACTAAAGTAAATAATATAGTATTTATATATTCATCTTATTAACAAGGAAGTCTGTTTCACTACTCTTAAACATTGCTAATTCCCACTACACTATACTTCCTGCCAAGACTAAACATTGAAGTGACAGCCATCTTTAGTAAAAGATTTGAATGTGCTTAGAGGCGTGGCATACACACACCAATTAAGAAAAAACAAAGGTTATATTCAGCAATGTGAGACTTACCATAATAATTCTATTCACTGGGGTAAAAATGAAAACCAGAAAAAGAAAAGCAGAATGAAAGAGCTTCTGAATGACAGTGAACTTAAACAAGTGAGTCAGGATAGTGAGTCATCCTTCAGTGCATGCCTCAAAAATGTGAACAGATACTACCCTAAGTCCTACAATGTTAATCATAATCCTTTTAAAAATCAGGAAATAAAGCTGCTTTAAGCTGAATTCCTGTTTTCAATGTGGTCATAGTTTTGCCACATGCATAACAATTGATAAGTGGTTTTAAGATTAGTCCTTGAAATCCTGCCTACGGATAGGGGTGGCTGTGGAATGTGTAAGAGTATAACTAACTGCAACCACGGGTTTCGTGAAGTTCTATAACATCCTTTAGGGTGGGAATAAGATCAAGGAAACTCTTTTATATTGGTGTAACACAATTCACATTATGCAGAAAATTCATACACACCAATGGGAAACATATCCACTAAACATATTCTTAGCTTTAGGTAATGAAACACTTATTTCCTTACAAGGAACCCCTTTCTAATTTGCCTATTTCTACCAACACCATCACACCATCTCAGGCCTTAAATACAAAAGCTTTGCTGCTTTATTATTTTTTTAATAGATTTGGGGGACGGTGGGTACCAGCACAGTTTTGCTACATGGATATATTGTGTAGTGGTGAAGTCTGGGCTTTTAGTGTACCCATTACCCCAATAAAGAATAATGTATCCAGCAGGTAATTTTCAAACCTCACCCACCTCCCACCTCCCACCTTTTGGAGTCTCCAATGTGTGTTCCTCTCTCTATGACTATGTGTACCCATTGTTTCGCTCCTACTTATAAGTGAGAACACTGGCATCATTTTTAACATTTTATTTATCCTTCACCCCTCTACCTGTAATTTCTCACTAAGTTTTTAATATTCTTTTCAATCATCCTTCCTTTTACATTTGCTCCACTATCACATTAATCCACAACCATATTTTGGCTACTGAATTGTTGAATGCAAAGAAAAAGCTGTTTCAAGACAGTGTACGATAATCCCAAGTGTGATCTATTGGGATCATTTGGCAGGCATGTCGCAAGTAACTTGCCAATAATGACAATTAACAACACTGAAATTCAAATCTTTCTCTAAAATAATACTCCTCTCACTAACTTCAGCCTCCAGGTTTCCTTGTGTGGATGTCATTTCAGCAAGGATACCAGAAATAATATATAACTCACTTACGAGACTACTCACTCAGGTGACCTGTTATGTATGCCAAAACTAAATAAAAGGCTGAAAATCAATGTTCCTTAATATATTATGGGAATATATACTTACATCCATTCATTGAACCCTCACTCCATTCATCAATATTAGATTTGTCTCAGTATAACAAAAAATAGCAAGATTAGGCTGGGTGTGGTGGCTCATGCCTGTAATCCCGGTACGTTGGAAGGCTGAGGTGGGTGGATTATCTGAGGTCAGGAGTTAAGAGACCAGCCTGACCAACATGATGAAACCCCGTCTCTACTAAAAATACAAAAATTAGCAAGGCATGGTGGTGGGCGCCTGTAATCCCAACTACTCGCGAGGCTCAGGCAAGAGAACTGCTTGAACCCGGGAGGCAGAGGATGCAGTGAGCCGAGATCGTGCCACTCCAGCCTGGGCAACAGAGTAAGACTCCATCTCAAAAAAAAAAAAAAGCAAGATTAAAACAAGACAAGATGTTTATGTCTCTCCTGATGTCTAAGAAATCTAGATATAAGTCATCCAGGTCTGATATGGGGACTCTAGAGTCTACAAAGATCCAGGCTCCTTCCATCTTTCTTCTCCTCTATCCTCTGTAAGGCCTCCATTCTTAAAGCTAACTCATTAGGTAAAGATGGTTGCTGGATCTCCAGCCATCACATTTGTATTGCAGACAGAAGGAGTGAAGGAAGGTGGGTGCAAGAGAGCAGAGTACACACAGAAGAAAGAGCAACGGTGCAGCCCCAAATAGAAACTGCTCAGAGGAAGCAAATTCAAGGGTTTTCAGTTTCACATGGCTGGGAGACAAAACTAGAGCTCAGGGCACAAAGCATGAGGGGCCAAGATCCTACAGAAAAAGAAAGCAGTGAGAAATCAACCCAAAATCTGAGCCCTTTAACTCCTCAAAGCATCTGCCCATTCACAAGCACCACAGACTGAGAGAAACCAGGCAGAAAGTAACAATAAAAAATGTAAAAGCTAAACAGAACTTGTGGCAGTCCTGAGAAAATAAAAATTGGAGTTCGGGATCCACTAAAGGGGCAGCAACCTGGTAAGCACCCAGACTCCAGCTCAGGCCCCTGAATGACTATGCCCTAGGATCAATGGAGAACCAGAAATAAGTGAAGCTTTATAAATACTGAAATTCAGACAGCTCAAACATGATTGGACTAAGTCGTTTTGCCTTTTATTTTGCTGCCTGCAAGAAGTTAACAGCTGAACCAAAACCTCTACAAGTTTTTCATATGTACTATCTGATATCCAAGAAAAAATTACAAGGCATATGAAGACACAATACCAAGAAAAAAAAAAAGAAAAAAGGAAACAGAGATAGACCCACAAAGTAAGGCAGCTTTTTTTTTTTTTTTTGAGGCAGAGTCTTGCTCTGTCACCCAGGCTGGAGTGCAGTGGTGCGATCTCCACTCACTGCAAGCTCCGCCTCCTGGGTTCATGCTATTCTCCTGCCTCAGCCTCCTGAGTAGCTGGGACTACAGGTGCCTGCCACCATGCCCGGCTAATTTTTTTTTTTTTTTTTTTACTAGAGATGGGGTTTCACCATGTTAGCCAGGATGGTCTCGATCTCCTGACCTCATGATCTGCCCAAAGTGCTGGGATTACAGGCATGAGCCACCGCGCCTGGCCTGTTTTTTTTTTTTTTTGGTTTTTTTTTTTAAGAATCCTATGAGGCCAGGTGCAGTGGCTCACGGCTCTAATCCCAGCACTTTGGGAGGCCGAGGCAGGTGGATCACCTGAGGTCAGGAGTTTGACACCGGCCTGGCCAACATGGCAAAACCGCGTCTCTACTAAAGTACAAAAATTAGCCAGGTATGGTGGCAGGCACCTGTAACCCCAGCTACTCAGAAGGCTGAGGCAGAAGAATAGACTGAACACGGGAAGTGGACGTTGCAGTGAGCTGAGATCGCACCATTGCACTCCAGCCTGGGCAACAAGAGTGAAACTCGGTCTTAAAAAAAAAAAAAAAAAAATATATATATATATATATAGAGAGAGAGAGAGAGAGAAAGAGAGAGAGAGAGAGAGAGAGAAGAGGAATAAAAGATAGAAAATACATGAAAGAGCATAGGAGACATATGAGACACAAGGAAATGGTCTAATGTACATGCAGTTAGAGTCCTAGAGAGGACAGATAGAATGGTACAGAAGCAGTTTCTAAATAGCTAATAAGCAAGAAGGGGAACTCACCAGTTCAAGAGGCACAACAAACCCCAAGCAGAATATAAGAAAAACATACCTGGACACATCAGAGTAAAACTTCCAAAAATTAAAAACAAAGAAGAAATCTTAAAATAGCAGTCCAAGAAAAAGACAACCTTCAAATGGGCAGCAATAAGATCAACTGCAAATTTCTAAACAGAAACTATGAAAGTCAGAAGATAATGAAATTACACTCTTAAAATGCTAAAATAACCAGCATCTTAGGATTTCAAGACATTCTGAAAGTTTCCTTCAAAACTGAAGGCAAAAATAAAGACATTTCCAGATAATGCCTGAGATATTTAATGGTGAGCCCACACACAATAAAATAATAAAAGGGGTTCTACGAGCAGAAAAACACGAGCCTTGATGGACAAACAGTCATGAAGGAAGAAATACAGAGATATGGAAAGCATAAATACATGGATACTAAACACATGGGGTTTACTATCTATATACAATTAAAACATAAAGCAACAATAACCCTAAAGGCAGACAGGGCATAAATGGAGTTAACTACCTTGAGGTTCTTATATTTTTCTGGAAAACAGACATCAGTACTAATTTGTTATAAATTTGAATAAGTCAGGGATTAATAATGTAATCTAGGGTAACACTAAAGAATAACAAAATGATTTATAACAGGTATGAGAATACATAATAAAAACTATTTTAATAATCCAAAAGATGACAAGAAATTACAGGAGAAAAAGAATTTAAAACATGTAGAAAGATAGAAACAGAAAGTCAGATTTAGACCCAAACATGACAATAACATATGTAAACAGACTAAACACACCATGTAAAAGACAAAGGCAATCAGATTAAATGTAAAAAAACAGATATATGCTATTTAGAAAAGAGAGATCATAAACAAACAAGCACTCAGCAAATACGAAAGTAAAAGAATGGGAAAGTTATATATACCATGTAAGCATGAAACTAAAGAAATCTGATAACACTGTACTTATCTCGGACAAAGCCGACTTAGGCAATAATCATTACAGGAGATACAAAGTAACATTTTATTGCAACAAAACAATCAACCCAAGAGGAAGACCTAAGGATGGACCTAGTAACACAGTTTCAAAACACATAAAGCAAAAATTGGCAAAATTAAAAGAAAAAGTAGACAAGTTTACACCATAATGGAAGATTGTAATACATAGAGAGGTCAGAGAGACACTTAGAACTCTAACAACAAATCAATCACATCCAGTCTTTTGAGTCTATCAATCTAGCTCTCAATTTCAAGGGTACCAGCCAACTGAGGACCTGGTTTTTTTATATTCCTTGCACGCACAGATGAAAAGCCCACTGACCACTTCGCTTTGGATCACAGAGAATTTCAGAAGAAGTCTAGAACAACTCCATATCCTCAAAAGCATTTTTAATAGATTACTAAAATCTAAAGCATATAATTTATTATTAATTATAAATGTCATTAATTATACATCAGATTAACTTTGCTGGATATTCTGTTTTCTAAACTTCTAAATTTCTGCATGCTGTTTTCATGCTCAATCAGCTCATTCAATCACAATTTTATTCAACATATTAGAGAGAGAACTTGAAACTGTCTGCTTAATTAAAACTAGACAACTCCTTAGTAATAGAAAGGATTAAGGAATAGTCATAAAAAGAGACAAATAGAGCCCAATACAGCAAAGGAGGCAAGTACAATACCCAACACTTAATAGCAATTAGAATTTGTTACCATTTTTAGTGCCTTTTTACGATAAAACCACAACTATAGATGGATGGCAGGATCTGTGTATTTTTCCAAATATACTTACCACAGAAAGCAGTGTGAATAACATATTCTAGCTCAAAGATGCCATGATTTTAAATGCAAATTTTAAATTGGATTATCTCTAGCGTTAAATCAGAGTCATGGGGCTGAAACCTGACGACAGTGGATTTAAAGGAAAATGGAAGAGAATGAATTGGAGTTAGTGAGTGTAGACTTATTAGGGGAGAACATTGATGACACGAAAGAACAAGAGAGCTGAGTAAGCAATGTTCACGAGTGCATGAGAGCACAGAGACTCTAGTGCATGAGGAAAGAGGGTGGTGCCACACAGGGCAGTGCACACATGGCATACTACACGGGCGGGCTCATCTGTAGCAGGAACAGGTAGAATACATGGGTTCAGTTAACGAGATGCAGGGAGCTCCAACAGTATTAGTCTGCTGGTCCATGAAGCCATTGGCTTCAAGTTTCTCCATAAGGAAGCAAGATAACCAGCTGAAAATAGGTATGGAGAAGAAACGCGGAAGGTATGAGAAAAAAGGGAAAACTGAAACAGTCATCTAAGTGAATGAAGTATACAGTATGACTGTCAGGCAGCATCAAAAGCCTACCTGAGGTTCACAATCTTGAATTTAAAGGAAGGTTGTGGAGAACTCTCCAGTCACATTCAGATGCACAGGTACAAAGTAGCCGTAAAGTTGACAAGACCCTATTTGCGAAGCGACAGGTGGTACCAAAACAGTGACAGGTGGCTCCCAAACAACTTTGGAGCCCTGGCCTCTTCTTCCCTGCTCCTTTGTCCCCCAACTAAATGCCACTCCTATAAGTATGTACAACAAGTATACACACTGATCTCCAAAATGCCCATGACACCATCATCTCAGGATCATCATTCCACAGCAATATTCCGAAGTTCTGGCCCTTACTAAAAAGGGTTCCTCCAGTTTTTCTCCTCGTCCTCAACAAGTTCTCCCATGAGTGAATACATCCATTCCCAAAATGGTGAATGCTTTATCTATTTAATATGTCCCTCTACCCTTATATTCCCTGAATGCTAATCTGGACATCTACACCTGAATACCTACAGGATAAATCCCAGTGTGTCAAAACAACCCTTGATGGTCTGGTCCTCATTTGTGGTTGCAGAATTCCAAGCATACCTCCTACCACTCCCCATCCATGGAACCCATAATCAAACCACACTGGACTTTTTCCTCAAACACACTTGGCTCCTTAAAACCTCCAAGCCTCTAAAGATTATCACATCTATTTACCTCAATATAAACTATATCCATTTAATCCTAATGAAATTTAAAGTAAACTCCTACTGAAATTACATATAAATATCTAAACTCAAACAGATCCATCCCTCGTTTGCTACAAAGAGCAAATACAGGGACTTTTTTTTCCTGGAGTTTTTGACAATGCCCAAATGGAAGTATAACTACAACTAACCATAGTTTACTTTGCTTAATATTAGTACATATTTGGTAATTGCCTAGATGATATATTTAGATCAACTACTAACAATTTTTAACCTACTTTTGAAAAACAAAACATTGAAAAGCAATATAAGCCACTAAGTCGAGTTTGGTTACAGACTTCTATAGTCATGACAGTACAATTTTCAAAATATCGGAAACAAGACCCTGCAAAATTCTCTAAGCTGCAGGTCCAAGTGTAATAGAGCAACAAAGGTAAGTCTTTTCTAAAACCAGGTAGGGGTGTGTGTGTACCCAGGTACTACATATGCAGTATATATGATATACAAACTAGTTTCTTGGGGAGGTTCTGAAGATTATAAATAAATGTGTAAATGCTTTAGGATGTTTAAATTAAAGGAAATATTTATTGACCCAAATAACAATTTCTACTTCTCACCTTGAAGTTATATAAACAGAAAAATTAGAATTTCAAAAATATCATAAAAATAAGGATATAGCCTACTTTGTCATTTTTTAGTACAAACAAAACAGCAACTTTAAGGTCACTTTCCAAACCATTCAGTGATTCAACACGCAAAATTTACACATAGGGCATCCACGCACACTAGTAAGACAGTACAGCTTGGAGAGTAATAATCACTTTAGGATAGTATACAGTCTCGTTTCGACCTTTATTATTGAAATTTAACATGTATGGAGCTCCAAACATACATATATATATATCATCTAAGTAACATTATACTACAGTAATAAATGGAAAAACAATGCACTAAGCCCAAACCTACTTTGCTTTCTTAAACAATCACAAAGTACAACCTAAGCCTGGATCTAACATCTTATAAACATAAATTGTTGTGACTTGATCGTGGAGATAGATGGCTGCTTTCAACTCCCTGGGGAAGGAGAGTCCCATTTTGTTCCAATAGTGCACCAGTCCTGATGATGACTACTAGCCCTACAACCTGTTAGCTCTTTTACCTTAACTTCTCTAAGCTTCATTTTCCCTATCTGCAAAATTGGGATACCACCACACCATATAAGTCTGTTTTAAGGAGTTAGGTTTGAGTCTATACAGCAAGTAGTATTTGTGCATGAAAAAAAGACTGATAAGGCAATAAAATATTAACAGAGGTCTTCTCTAAGGAGATTATAAAAGATTTTTTTAAAAAATCTTCCCCTTACTTGTTCTACGTTGTCCAAGTTTTCTACACTGAGAATAATAATTCCATAAAAATAAAATAATAAAGTCTCATTTCGTTCAAAAAAGCACGATACATTGCAAATTCCTAATTTCCCATTGTCTTCTATAATAACAGTCACTGAGTACTTGCTCTATGCCAGATATATTACATAAACTATCTCCACTTAATGTTCACAGCAACTTCTGAAAGTGCCACCTAGGCAATTATAAAACATGTACTAATATTAAGCAAAATAAGCTTTTAAACATAAGAAAATCAAGGATCAGAAACATCACTCAGCAGGTACAGGACGGCACCAAGATTCAAATCCCAGTCTAACTTCTATGCTTTAGATACCACATTACTCAGGGTTAATGATCAACTTGTCAGCAAAGTCAAGAATCATCTTACTAGTAAGGAGCAGAATACTTTAAGGCTCAGGATTTTTTTTTCTTATATAACTCTGCCCTAAAACATGCTACCCCCCTCCTTTCCTTAGTACCGTAATAACTTTCTCTAAAAGAGGAAGCAACACTTTTGGGTTATCTGTTTTTAAAAGACTCCTAGGTTTGGCAATACTTCACTGACTCAAGTAACTAAAACACAGCTGAGACTCAAAGGTAAACAAAGAAGAAAAAAAAGGCCTCCAAACAGTAAAAAATATATATATATTATATATATATATATATATATTCAAACAACAATACAGTTTATTATTTTATCCATAATCAAGTCTCTCAAAATCTTTACTCAGAACTAATTTATCCTATTGTTATTAAGAACAATTTTTAGGTACAATTAAAACCAGGTTGATGGTTGCTTCATTCCCAAGTCAAAGTTAAGACTAGAAGCAGAAAATTAGAAAACAGGAAAAGAGCTATTAAAAGCAGATACACTAATAATGTACAAGAAGTAACTGCCAACCTAAAGGAGTCAGAAAGCTTAAAAAAATGTATATGGGAAGAATTAAAAAGCAGTTAATCTACATCTATTTCGAGCATACTCAAGCAGCCCTGAATATCTCATTAGGCCCTGAGTTGCAAAGAAAAAACATTTAGTATACTCTATGTCATAGGACGGTAAAATTACATTTTAAGTAGTTTCATCCAGAATAGCTAAAATATGTTTGTGCTTTATACATCCAAAAAAAATAACATTGTAGAATACCTCATTTCCTAACTGAACACTTAATTCATGCTTATAAAATATTCAAGCAATACAGAAATGCATTAAGAAAAGTGAACTCTCTTCCTCTACACCCCTTCCCAAATGAACCCTCTAATGTTAACTTTTTTGGTGGGTTTCCATAAAGTCTTTCTCCTTTGCACATTCTAAAACAGATTTAAACATACCATACACAGGATACACATGTGCATACGTGCACAAGAACATATACGAACACACGCATATGTATAAGGCACACAACAGAACCATACTAAGCACATTGCTTTGCAATTATCTTTCTACTCAAATATATTTCATAGACATTTTTCCAGGTCTGTTCAGATAAATTAAGCTTACTCTTCTTAATACTATTGTACTTCACTATATGGATTTGCCATAATGCACTAACCTTTCTTCTACTGACAGATAAGTTCTACTGGTTTGGGTATTGTAAACAATGCTACAGTGAGGATCTTTGTGCATGTTATCTTTTGCGCAGATGCAGAAATGGTATTTCTATAGAATACTGACTTGCAGACTAGAATTAGTAGGCCAGATGAAACACAACTTTTAATTTTGATAAAGAATACCAATTTGTTCTCTTACCAACAATATGTGAGCACCTTTTTCATCACATTGAATACTGGTCCCATTTATTAATTTTAGCCAGTCTTGAAACAATATTTCATTATTGTTTATATATGCATTCTCAAACAATGTAATTTCCTATCCAGTATTCTCTCATCTTCCTAAAAGAATGCCAGATCTTTTTAAGCAAGGATGTTCTGAGTAAAAAAAAGAAATTTGCTCATGCCTGTAATCCCAGCACTTTGTGAGGCCAAGGCAGGCAGATCACGAGGTCAGGAGTTTAAGACCAGCCTGGCCAACATAGTGAAACTCCGTCTCTACTAAAAATACAAAAAATTAGCTGGATGTGGTGGCTGGCGCCTGTAATCCCAGCTACTTGGGAGGCTGAAGCCGGTAGGCGGAGGTTGCAGTGAGCCGAGATCGCACCACTGCACGCCAGCCTGGCGGACAGTGCAAGACTCCATCTCAAAAAAAAAAAAAAAAAATTGCATTCCCAGGACCCCCCTGCAGCTAGCAGCAGCCATGTGACACAGTTCCGGCTGATGGCTTAAGGAAAAGCTTTTGCATTCCTTACACAGGTGACACCAACTTCAGATTTCCCCTTTTCCTTTTTCTTCTTGCTTGGCTCTTGGACCTAAGGATGAAGACGCAGCAGTCATCACGTATCTCTGAGGACAAGGATTAAGTGTGGCTGAGGAGAAACGTGAAAAGAGCCGGGTCACTCAAGACATTGCTTGGCCACTGTGACTACTCTGAGTCTAGCTAGCCTGGACTGTTTCAGCCACTCAGCCAGGTTTTAAATTACTTGCAACTAAATGTAATTCTAACACTGAACAGTCCTCTAATTATTTGTGACACTCAACATTCATATGTTGTTAGCCACTTGTATTTCTGTAACTTGTCTATTTTATCTGCCAAATTTTCACTTGTTTCTTGATCTAAAAACGTGGAATTCCACACAGTACAATCATAAGTGAATTGCCTAATTTCTCAGTATTCTAGTTTTATTAGGCATTAGTAAATAAGTTTTAGAAGAATAATAGTAAGGGTCTTTTGGTAGTTTCTTGAAAAAGTAGACATCCACTTACCATGCAATCTATGAATCACATTCCTGGGTATCTATCCCACAGAAATAAAAATTTATATTTATGTCGACACAAAAATCTGAATGTTCATAGTAGCTTTATTTGTAATAGTAAAAAAAATAAAAAATAAAATAAAATAAATAAAAAACTTGAAACAATCCAAATATCCTTCAGTGTGTAAATGGTTAAACCAACTCTGGTACATCCATACTGTGGAATACTACTCATCAATAAAAAAGAGACAAACCATTGATACATGAAACAATTTCATGGATACTAAGTTTTAAAAAATCCCCAAAGATAATATAATATATGATTCCATTTATATAGCATTCTCAAGATGGTAAATTTATAGAGATGGAGAACAAATTCATTGCAAGGGGTTAGGGAAGTGCAGGGAGGTGTGGGAAGGGTATGATAGAAAGGGCATAGCGTTAAGGAAACCTGTGGTGATGAAACTCTTCTGTAACCTTGGTTCTGATGACGGTTACACAAATCTACACATGATAAAATTGCCGAGGACCCACCACACACACACACACATACACACAAATGTCACACATACACCACACACATGCATGTAAAACTAATGAAATCTGAATAAAGTCTGTGGATTGTACCAATATCAATATCCTGGTTTGATATTTAACTAAAGTTACATAAAAATGGAGGAAACTGAGTAAAAAGTACATGGGATTTCTCGGTACTGTTTTGCAATTTCCTATGAATCCATAATTATTTCAAAATAAGTTTTTCTGAAAAGTACTTAGTGCTGTTTTCAAAAACCCCATAATTAATATACCCATTCTCTGCTTTTCAACTTGCTCCCTGCAGAGTCTAGGTAAAGTTTTTCCTTCTTTTCAGCTCAACTCCAGTCCCACATTTCCAAGGCGAGGCTTCCCATGATAATCAGAAGTGCAAGAGAGCCAGGGTCTCCATCGACTCTACACAGACGACTCCCAGCCCCTGAGCATGCAGCCCTCAGGAAGCTGAGATTGTCAAGGACAGCCATTCCAAATTAGCATTTTGTTGACATTTTGGATTGTTCACATTACAGAAAGATAAGGGCTTTCTCACAATTAATAAAACTTCAGGGAATATTCAAATGTTCTTAGGTAGTCATTTAGATTAGTCCAAGCCAGATTTTCAAAGCACAGCATGTATATTTTGTTAGATGTTTCTGGTAACTGCCATCGTGAATCTAGCAGATGTTCAGGTAACAGTCATTAAAAGCGCTCCATGACTAAGTAGCATAATGACCTTTATTAATCACTGCATCTGGTGTTTGCCAAATGGGAGAGAAACAATACTCAAGCAGCCTTTTGTTAAGGGGTAACAAGTTATCTGAATGAAGATACTTCAGCACATTTAAATTATATTTAAATTATATCAAGATAGTGCTATAAACATTTAATTTCAAGTAGCATTCTCAATAAAATAACTCATTGCAAACCTAATTGCTCTCTAGAGAAGATTACTGGGCAGTCTGTTTCAGTAATAACATAAAGCAAGAATCGAATCCTCTCAGTAATTAGGTAACAGATTAAATTTATCAATTATCTACTATCTGTTATCTCACTTAGATGATAAGCCATAGAGAAACAAATACCAGGCAAGCTCATGAACCACCGAATTCTTCAGAATTATTCACTTTTCTCCAAAATGATTAATGAATTGCAGTCCTTGCCCTCAAGAAGCTCACAGCTTAATAAAGGGTACGACCCTCTAGAAAATAATCATATACACATACGCTGTAAGATAATAAGTAAAGACATATTCAAAGAGCTACTCTAAAGCATTTCCAGGTGGAACTTAGTACCTCTGCTCTACCAGTTCCCAGCTATCCCCTATGATACACCTAAAAAATCTGAGAAAGCAACACAAGATATTGCATGAGTGTCTGAGAACACTGAGTACCTTCAATTACATTGCAGGACCACATATACATTTGATTTATATTGCTGATTTCATAATATCCACTCTTTTCTCCATTAACATGATACAAAGTAACTTGCACAACATATATTTGGGACAGTACATGCAATCCAAAATGCAGCTCTTGATATTGACTAATTATGGATTTGACACTTGTACTGCCATTTATTAAGCAACTCACAGTAACAAGTAGAGAAGTTGTATGATCTTACTACACCACAGATAGTCATCATTCTACAGGAGTTAACGTTTCTACAGTTTTTTTCTCACGTGAAGTTAATAGCCCGTTTAAAGTGAAAAATAACCTAAATCATACCTGGATGTCACTATCATAGAAACAAAAACTAAGTTTTGCTTCTTATATTAAGTGATACTTTTTCTTTTAACACTATTTTTCCTTTGTTAAACATATGCGATACACACTTGAGTATACCCAAGAAGACCACAGAAAGAAGCAACATAGAGCAAATCAAAGAACATGAGAGATAACTTAAAAAAGCAAGAAACCAAGATAAAATCAGCATCCTTTAAGAATGTAGCATCCAGGCCGGGCGTAGTGGCTCACACCTATAATCCCAGCACTTTGGGAGGCCGAGGCGGGTGGATCACGAGGTCAGGAGATCGAGACCATCCTGGCTAACATGGTGAAACCATGTCTCTACTAAAAATACAAAAAGATTAGCTGGGCGTGGTGGCGGGTTCCTGTAGTCCCAGCTACTTGGGAGGCTGAGGCAGGAGAATGGTGTCAACCTAGGAGGCGGAGCTTGCAGTGAGCCGAGATTGCGCCACTGCACTCCAGCCTGGGTGACAGGGCAAGACTCCGTCTGAAAAAAAAAAAAAAAGAATATATCATCCAGAAAGCATCTGCAATGGTGATGTGCATGTCACCACAGCGTAGGGTAGCAAACTGCAGTGATCACAGCTACTATCCAGCCGCTCACCATTGAAGCCAATATGGACAGGAGTGGAGAGGCTGGTTAAGGAGGAGTACATTTCTAATGCTGACATCACAGGTGGCAGAATGGGTTTTGGATTCCCTTTACTTCAGATTACTTGAACAAACGTAGTTTTGATATTAATAGCAATACTGATTGCAATTCAAATATTGAAGATTCTTACTCTTCAACCAGCATATGTCCAGCATTTATCATATGCACAGATAATAGTGCTCCACATGCCAGGAGAGTTTATATGCCATTGGAAGAGATGGCCATCACCACTAAATATTTTTAACAACAAAGGCAGTGATTAATGGAATAAAACACAGGGCTAGAGCTGGATGGCTATGAAAATGAGCTGGGAAGGGCAGGCTGGACTCTCTGAAATGCCTGATGAAGGAGGCTGTACTTCACCCTGAAAGCAGTGAGCACTCATAATAAATTTTTAAGCTAGAGTGTGTGGCAGAAACATGAGTCTAAACTGTGGTAAAAGAGAAACATGAAAAATGCATTCAGCAGGTTGGCATATATAAACAGTTTCTCAAAGGGCAATAAAAGATACCGAAAGGACAAAAAAATCGGTACACACACAAAGCATAATAAATCTGAACACCACGCATATTTGTTTATTTACCAAACGCCACATATTTACTGTGTGCTTAAATGGGGGCCATTCTAAGCACTTTACAAATGTTGCCTCCTTCAATCCACATTCACGAACTTATAAGAACTTTTGTTTGAGGTTATTAATCCAATTTTACATATGAGGAAACTGAAGCACAGAGAAACTAAGTTGCTCAAGGTCACAAGACTAGTAAGTAGTGGATTCGAGAGCTGAACTCGGGCAATCTGGCTATACAATCTATCCAATACTGTCCAACAGAGCTTGCTGCAATGTGGCTATTGAGTACTTAATATGTGGCTAGAATGAGGAACTAAATTTTTTATTTTACTTAATTTTAATTATTCAACCACATGTGGCTACTGGCTACCATGCTGGAGAGTTCAGACCATATTCTTAATTAATATACGGACCTGCTTTACTAAGAGACTCAGAGACAAGCAAGAGAGGAATGGTGCGGGGCACAGTGGCTCACGCCTGTAATCCCAAAACTTTGGGAGGCCAAGGCAGGAGGACTGCTTGAGCTCAGGCATTTGAGACCAGCCTGGGCAACACAGTGAGACTTCATCTCTACCAAATATAAGACAAAATTAGCCAGGCACGGTGGCGCATGCCTGTAGTCCCAGCTACTTGGGAGGCTGAGGCAGGAAAATCACTTGAGCCGAGGAGTTCAAGGCTGCAGTGAACTATGATCTCACCACTGTACTCCAGCCTGGCTGACAGAGCCTGACCTTGTCTCGAAAATTTAAAAATGGGGGAGGGGAAAGAATGGTGCTTAAATAGTCCATTGCAGTCAATTTCATTCTTTAAATTTCATTTTATTTTTAATTGACAAATAATTGTATATGTTTACAAATTTAATGGTTTAAACAATTCAAAGAAAACCTTTCAAGGTCATTTCAAGTTTCAAGCAACAACTGACTGCAAAATTTACCAACTTACTTCAAAAACTCCTTTCCATAGTTAAGACAATACACTGGGCCAACGAGCTAAACAAAATGGACTCATTTTTCTTTAAAACATTATTAAATTAATTACAACCTGTACTAAATACATCTCCCTAAAACAAAGTCTTGACAAAACTTTTATTAACTAACTCTACCCACAACATACACAATTTTGACTTCAAATATGACATAGCTGAATTTAAGGAATAAATATACTGCTTATAGTTTTCCAAGTACAAATGAGCTGACACAGTTATAGAAATTAACAAACATCACTATATTGAAACAGACTGCTATCCACAGAGCTCTGTATTCTGTTCCAGACATAAACACCTACAAACAAATTATTAGCCATCTAAGAGATCAGAAGAGCAATATCAGCAACAGAATAACAACAATAATAAAAATAACAAAAATACCAACAGCAGCTTACCTTTATTCCTTACAGTGTGGCAGGCACTGTGTGAGTCCCTCATACACATGACCTCACACAGCCCTCATAACACCTGGGAAAATATACACTATTATTACCTCTACTTTTCAGATAAAGAATCTAGTGTACAGGGAAGTTCCATAACTTGCTCAAGGCTAAACAGCAAATGAGCGAGCAAATCCAGGATCGAGACCTCTGTCTGTCTGATTAATGCCCACGCTCTTAGCTAACCACTTCTGCGCTGCCTTTCCTTTTCATTAAACCACTCACGTAACTGTGGATCAGCTTAGCGGTCACGTGTGAAAATCTCTAAAAGCTAGTCACAGCTAAGCCAAATGCACAACCTTCTAAGACTACTGTTACCTGATGTATCAATGTGTGTGTCGGGAGGTAGTTGTGTGTGTGTGTGTGTGTGTGTGTGCGCGCGCGCGTGCTTGTATGCAAAGAGTAAACATAGGGAGGCATTATGAATTGACACTGTAATTCAAGAGGTTACCATAAAAAACAAAAATGGCTTCAAGAAACTAATTAGAATATGAATGTCAATGCTCTGTAAGATCTTAGAGAACATCTAATCACATTATAGATAGTAAACACCATGACACAAAGACATTCGCTGACTTACCTAAAGTCATATGATAGTAAAACTAGATCACAGGTCTTCCAACTCCCAAATCAATATCCCTCTCACCACATTCTAATGGCCATATCCGTGTTTCACCTTAGGATATATGCTACTTCTAAATACGACTGCCAAATCCCAGCACAGAACAAAGTACTTTGTAACAGTGTTTTAGTTTTATATTTAAATGACATGCTTTTACTTCTAGTCTTATTCTTTATCACATTAGAAACCATACTAGTGAGAATCACTTTGACTACAAGTAAAAGGCCAAAAATTCTAGAGGTAACTAGGGGTTGGTACAAATGTTCCTTAGTGTCACTGGTGTCACAGAAGACTAGCCTCCTATGTTTCTTCTCCCCCATATTGCTTTTGTCCTTACGGTCACATCATGGCTGCCATTACTCCATGAATTGCACTCACATTCCAGGTAGAAAGAAAGATGTAACAGAAAAGCAGAGGTGACAACTGTCTCAGAAGGTAAAACCTTTCCAGAAATCCTCAGCAGGCTTTTGCTTACATCTTAAGAAAGAGAGTTCATTTGCTGGTTTGTTTTTTAACCTAGGGCACTAACACTCTAAACACAAGAGAGAATGGAGATTGGGTGGACAATGAACACTGTCTGTCACAAGCAGCCATTTCTCAAGTTCTCATTAAATAATTCTTGTCATAGTATCTTCTTTTTTGTCAAGGGCATGAATCCTTTGTAAATAAAGAACTACAAACCTACAACCAAATAAAGTAAATTAGATGCTATAACTTTAGTTTTGTAAGCTTAAATTGTCAACATATATAGCAAAATGAGTACATTTTAAATATAAGCTGAAAACGATTATCCACCTACAAAATATCTGCGATATCTGAAATATCTACAAAATATCTGAAAGGGTTCATTTTTGGATTTTTCTATTGCTTAAGTTATTAGCTATAATATTTCGCTGATCTAAGACCATATTATGGCAATTTTAACCATCTAAAACACAGCTAAAAAAACAGGATGGAAGTAGAAACGTTCAGTAAGTCAAATCAACAAATGTATTGCAATTAACATTTATTGGTCAATTTAATAAATATAACCTTCACGTATAGAATTTTTAAAGTGTAGTAATAGAAGCAAAAGCAAAATGCTAAGAGAATATAAAGAAAGAAACGATTCAATCTAACCTAGAGAGGTGAGGGGAGAACAAGTCAGAGAACATGCTTTTTGGCAGGAGTGGCACTGGAACCCGAAGGCTGATCGATAAGGAATGTGACTGCTGGAGAAGGAGGGAAAAACTCGCCATCCAGATGGAGCAGCACATTTGGGAAGCAGCAAGTATTCTGATGTAGCTGGCACAGAGGGTGCGTGGAGAGATTCAGTGATACAGCCAGAAATACTGCATAGGTTAAGCCTGAATTCTAGGTTTTATGGCAAATTGTTTCAGAAAGCTATTTCAGACAGCAATGGAAGGGTGGCACACAGAGTTAAATGATCATGCTTCTTCTCGCCTCCTCCCCCTATCACCCTAAGAGAATTTCCAAACATCTTTACACGGATTCTTCATGTTTGGGCACCTGCGTCACCTATTTTCTTGCCATACTTAACAATTTGCAGCTTTCCCAACACATTGTGCCCTCTCTTATCTTCATGACTCCTCCTTTGGGATGCTCACACAAACTCTCTTTTTCCCTAAGCTAGCTAGCTAGCCTTTATGCATGCTTTCAGACTTGGCTCAACTGAGAGCATCAGTCACCTCATCAAACAATTTAATTCCTTCAGTCCTCTCACCACCAAATGAGGGAAAGTTAAGAGGGTCCGTTAAGTACCTCCCCGCTTGAGGTTCCATGAGCTTGTCTATTATAATGCCTGTCATACCACTGTAATCACTGACTTTTGTCTCTGACCACTTGCATCTGAGCTCCTTGAGGATATATCTCTACGCCCTTGCATCTAAGATGCAGCAAGTATTCAATATATGTTTATTGAATAAAATGAATGAGGAGGCTACTGTCATAATCTAGAGGAAAAGTATGAAGGAATGAACGTGGAAATGGAAAGGTCAGGACAGATACCAAAGCTCCTATGTCTTAAAAACAAGAGAGACCTTCAAGGCCCTTATTCAAAATCTACTCTTACTTTAGTACTAATTTTAATAACCTTGGTCGTTCGGTTCTCTACCTACAGAAAATGCAAAATGAATTTGAATTAAGAAAAATTCAATCATATTTAGCATACTTCTGTTTAACAAGATAGAGAAACATACACTGTTTTTCAAAAGTTTTAATTCAAATAAACATGAGGCTTTTAAAGGAGAAAAGCAGGATCTTCAGTAACACACAGCTCTTATGATTACATTTACGCCTTACACACATCTGAAGAGATGGTGTGGCTTTACTTTTCAGTCGGCTCGATGGTGTCTCACCTTGCCAATCTAGTGGAGCTTGGCCCTAGAGATGCAGGCTAATGAGGACATTTGAAGGGAAAACGGTGAAAGTTTGTTGTTCCAATTTGCATAGTTATCACTCGCCCCATCCTTTTCCCTGGTCCACCAGGTTACATTGTCTTAACTCTGCCCATGACAGCCTCAGGTCAAAACACACTAACCCACTAGACTATGTTGCCTAACTAAACAAACACTTATTAGACAAGACTGTCTTAACAAATGCATGTTACACCATTCATCTAGTCTTTCATTCACTTTTATAATTTCCCTCCCTCCCCAAAATAATTCTTTTTTTTTTTTTGAGACAAAGTTTTACTCTTGTTGCCCAAGCTGGAGTGCAATGGCGCAATCTCAGCTCACCGCAACCTCTGCCTCCCGGGTTCAAGCGATTCTCCTGCCTCAGCCTCCTGAGTAGCTGGGATTACAGGCATGCACCACCACGCCCGGCTAATTTTGTGGTTTTTTCAGTAGAGACATGGTTTCTCCATGTTCGTCAGGCTGGTCTCGAAATCCCGACCTCAGGTGATCCGCCCACCTCGGCCTCCCAAAGTGCTGGGATTACAGACATAAGCCACCGCGCCCAGCCCCCAAAATAA
Organism: Homo sapiens; assembly: GCF_000001405.40. Lineage (NCBI taxonomy): Eukaryota > Metazoa > Chordata > Mammalia > Primates > Hominidae > Homo > Homo sapiens. Next base: position 11,571,396 of record NC_000010.11, read on the forward strand.
TTTTTAACCATATCCTTGACTCTTACTTAGCATAAGTTTGTTTCTATCGCATACCAAGGAAAACTATTTGATAAAAACTTCTCTCAAACCATTTATCGTAATTTTATCCCCAACTTTGATACTTCTAGGATAATTTTCTCTTCACAAATCAATTTTTCATACTATTTATAATATTAATATGAATACAATACTTAGAAATGCTACATTCTCTCTACATCCATCCAAATTCATATCATATTTTAAAGAACTGAATTTTTTTTTTTAAATTCTCTTCTTAGGGGTCAGTGTTTTATATTTGTCCATATGACTTTTTTTTTCAAGGAGTCTGTCAATATGAAAAATTGGTAAGATGTAACAATATTCTGCAAAAGGATAAAATAGTAAATTGGTTAATGATGAAGAACACTATTAGAAGAGGTTTGAAAAAGCAAGCTTCTAAGAAAAAAATCTATGTATATACTTCCTGTTTTTCACAAAAAAAAAAACTGTCTGAAAAATTTTAAACAAAAGTCTGAGAACAAAAGCCATTCTACTACTTTAATATACTACTCCTACTACTTTAATATAATAAGATATAAATATCTTATTTAATATATAACTATCTTTTGGTAGTATTTTTCATATATCCACATGATGTTTCCTGTAATATATGAGATATATCTATATATGAGCATTTTAAAAGGCACAAAAATTATTATTCTTTTCCCTGGGTATATTCCAAGTAACTATGATTGTGAATGAAAACAAAAACTAAAAAAAATTCCAATAAAAAATTCTGACTGTAAAGGTCAAACTACATAAATCTGACATTTTCAAACAGATGGGATTAAATTAACTAATTTATATTCTCTGGAAATAGTAAAAGCTATTTTCTTTAAATACCTAATTGTTAGAATCCTGCTATTTAGAGATGGGAATGTAGTTTTCTATTTCAGAAGGGGAGCAGAAATAAAGTAGAAAGCAGGAGATAAATAACTGTAAAGTATCCTAAATAATACTGCCACATTTTCAAAGGTAAATGACAACAGTCTCTCTGCTTTTTGAGATGCGTATCTGTTCAATCACTTAAATACCACATTCTTCCACAAAATGAAATAAAAAAAAAAAGACAAGATGTCTAAGATTTCTTTCAGCTCTAATATTCTTTATATGGTTGACTATTTTATGTATCACAATTCATACTATCATGCTAAATCATTTTACTAAGACTTATGGAATCTCATAAGCTTTACTTTAAAACACAGATTATATCACATTAAAGAAAAAATATAAAGTAATCTACATTTTATATCTGAGTTATATGTACACTTTTCAAATCATATAAAGATAGAATGCTTAATACATGTGAATGCTTACATGTGAAAAGGCTGATATATCAATTTACCAACTGATTTTAAACCATAATTTAGTGAAATTGCCAATATAATCAACTGACTTGATGGCCTGTGATTTTTGAAAATCAATTCCTAATTATCATTTTAGAATTGTACTATTTTAAATGCTTAAAAAGTAAAATATATAAGTATATCTTTAAAGATGTATCTACATTAGCTCATTTAAGATCTGTAAGTTAGACATGCAATTTTAAAATGTTTTCAAAAATGTATTTCAGCATATTCTAGACACACGCTATGAATATAAGACTGTTTTTAATATAATTAACATTGACTAAACATATAATCATAAACAGAATTATTCACTAAAAAAGGCAATAAAATCTACTATTCATTGGCTAAATTCATATTTATAACTATTATTTTATCAGCTATTCACACAAATAAAAATCATCTAGTTCTTATGTTCTACCACAGGCAGAATCCTAGCTTGTTCTCTTCTGATGTCTGCTATGAATATTTATATTTTAAAATTAAAAGAAATGAGGATTACAAAAATTATTCTTCTACCTCCAAAATACATAATGCAAGAGGATCTTTAAAACATGAAAAGTACTATTACAGCAGCAATGCAATAACCTCCCCTTACTCTGTACCTCTTAATAATATCCCCCTAATTTTTGTTCAAAAACAGTAATAATGAGGCATGTTAACAATTATGCCATTACCTGATCCTTTTCAGATACCATAATATATCAGAAATGCAAAAGCATACACGGAAACTCAAAACCCCTTTTTATAGCACATCCTTGGGTCCATACTTAGCAAAATCTGAGTGCCCTGAAAGTGCTTGATTGTTCATTCTGCTAATCCTACCTTCCTTCACTGTGGCTGCTTTTTGCCTTGATGGTGTCACCAGCTCCTTTACAATCTGCAAGACTTGAATCATTGCTAGTTAACAAGCCAAAGACTCCAGCTGCTTCCTCTAGAAATCCAACAGGTTTCATCACCAGAAGCTCATTTCTGCTTTCAGAAAGCTCAAGCACGAACACAGTTCAACTTCAGAGAAATGAATGCTTTGCCTAGCTATCCATGAAGGCTCTGAAGCAGTTAATAAGAAACAACGAAAGGATAGGCTGTATCTTCTTGAAATGATGGATTCAAAGTGATTTCAGCACGTGTGAAAGCCCCATCCTCAAAGTCCAAAATGTATTACTATGCACAGCCTTAACTAGTTATAAACAAAACAAAACAAAATGTGGGTAATCTTCTGTAAATCACTAAGCAAAGTGAAAACATTTTCTCACAAAAGCCATGACAGAAAAAATAAAGTGCTCTGCTATAAATTTTCACAGTGCATCACAGATGCTATGTGCAAGTTTTTAAGTAGTCAACCAAAATACCCTGCACTGTCGAAAGCCTTAATACTTTTTTCCAATTTCTCAAAAACCTTGTATTTGAAACGGAAAATAAAATGTGGATAAAAATAAAATCTATCTTGCTAACTCTAAGCTCCCAGATTTGCATAAAAGATATGGTGCCTCAAAAATATCCTATAAATTCCTTGTCCTCCTCCTCACATATACACCTCTGACATCCCAGTCCATGAATAGAAGTCTAAATTCACATGCACACTAGAAATTCCCATAGGAGTCTGTAAATTCAATGGTCTCAACATCCAGCGGCATGGACCAGATAATTTCAAAACAAGTATAACCACTGCTCCTTCCATATGATGTTTAACAGCCAAGTTGTAACAAATGCTGAATTAATATTTAATATATTTGTTATATGTTCTATTTATCCCATAGCAGCCCTTCTCAAAGTAAACCTACAGAGTTAACTAAAAGAGAAAAATGACACTCAGGTGAACATGGCTAAATGCTATGTTTATTAAACTGATTCTCCACCAGCAATTTGTTCCTCTTACTGTACTGCCAATTTTCCTCTCCTATTTTTCTTTCCTTCCCATGAATTATTTTGACATTTTTAACATATCATAAAATATTAGATCCCAGAGCAAATCAGAGGCAGTTCCTTTGCCTTCAGACAGTTAAAGGCTTGTTATTTTCCCATTTTTCAGCTGGACAACTGAGCACAGTGAATCAACCAAGGTTACAAGTAAACCGATCCAAAAATCAGCCTTCTGCTTTCTCTCCAGCAAGCACCGTCTGTAAAAATGTCTAGTTTTAAAATTCAAGGTGAAGTTTTCAGCTCTTCAGACACGACGTGCTACACCATGTACATATATACCACCCATAATGTATGCTCCATATGGGTGTTAGGTTCAGAAATCAGTGCTCCAAGCCATGACAGTGAGAAAATACTTGGAAAGAGAGGACAAAAGAGGACCACTCTCCTAATTCCCTATTATCTTTAAAGAATATGTTCGTACTCACAAACTAAATCAAAGTAAGAGTTCAGATGGGTCAAAGACTAAGTTTTAAACCTCAAGTCAAAACTGTGATCTTGAATCCTTCTGTAGATGTAAATTTAAACAAATAAAAGTAGAAATCTAACTCCTCAATTCAAGTTTCCCCAATTCTCTCTGTGCCTCATCCCACTTCCTAGGGCAGTTTGGGACACGTAATAAGTGTTAAGTATCTACTGCCTTTGTTTTCCAATCATGTTTCCAGCTCCTGAGAAATTACTTCCTCTCTTCTGGAGAGAAGATCTTTGGAAGGTACTGTTTTGACAGGTAACTTTCCATTAGCTTTCCTCTCTCCCAGTCTTTCTCTTTCTGCAAGGAAGGAGATAAGCAGGACATTAACCTCTCAGTCAACTATTTCCTCCATACCTGGCCAGGGAAGAGAGGAGTATCTAAATTCATGTCTCATAAATTTCAATCATCATCTTCCTTATCTCACTGGTATTATCACTGGTTTTGAAAATGAAAATCACATAGCAATCACTTTGAACACATTGGTTCACTACTGTCAATGCTTAGCTTCTGCTAAGCAATCAATAGCTTTTTCTTGTTTCTCTCATTTTTCATCACACATTGCATCAGTAAGAATATCTGATCACATACTCTGATGTATGTAACTGAGCTGAACTCTTTAAAATGCCAAAGTCATAGAAGACAAAGACAGACTGAGAAAGTGTTACAGATTAATCGAGTCAGGATAACAAAATGCAAAACAGGATCCCAGATTAGATAGTAGGCCAAAAAGGGTGAGGGGAAATACGGGACATTTTGGGAGAAGAGGTGAAATTTGAATATAGTCTATAGATTCATCAGTTAATTTCCTAACTATGACCACTGCACTGTAGTTATGTAACAGAACATCTTGGATTTCAGGATATATACTTCAAAATAGTTACGGGTAAATACTTCAACTCACTCTCTAACACTTCAGGAAAAAAAAAAAAAGCAATAATATTAACACAGGATGAGCAAACAAATGTCATAAAATGTTAACGCTGGGGAAATCCAGGTAAAAGAATATGAGAATTGTCTATGCTATTCTTGCAACATTTTCCTAAGTCAGAAATTATTTCAAAATAAAAAATTAGATCCTGACTCACTCTCTCTGGAGTGTACCCAGAAGAGGCATGGTGGAGCAGTGGGACAACATAGGTGGATCTTCTCACTTCAGTATTTTATCCCACTGGTCAATTCCCTCCATGCCGTGATCTGAATGTCTAAGTTCCCCCAAAATTCCTGTGTTAAACCTAACCCCCAAGGTGATGGTATCATGAAGCAGGACCTTTGAGAGTTGATTAAATCACAGGAGCAGAGCTTTCATTAATGGGCTTAGTGCCCTTACAAGAGGTAATCCCAGAGAGCTGCCGTGCCTTTCCACGACGTGAGGAGAAGCTAGAAGGCGCCATCTATGAACCAGAAAGCAGGCCCCTAACAGACATTAAATCTGCCAGTGCCTTGATCTTGGACTTCCCAGCCTCCAGAACTGTAAGAAATAAACTTCTATTGTTTGTAAGCTATCCAGCTTATGATATTTTGTTAGAACAGCCCAAACAGAATAACACAAGGGCTACATCCCATTGGTTAAATTGACTGTAACTTCATAATAAGTCCTGATATCTAATAGAAAAAAATCCTCCCTCTCTGATATTATTCAGAAATGTCCTAGCTACTTTTGGCTCTTTATCTTTCCACCCTTTCCATATAAAATTTAAAATCACCTAATAAGTTCCCTGGTAAGCCTGATTGTGATTTAATTTGAATTTCATTGGTCTATATGCCAACTAGGTAGAAATGATATTTTTCAGATACAAAGTTTTCCTGTACAAAAAACATGGTATATTTCTCTATTTCTAGGTCCTCCTAAAATCCTTTTTTAAAAATATATAATTTTCCTTTAGAATTCTTTTTTTTTTTTTTTTCGATGGAGTCTGGCTCTGTCACCCAGGCTGGAGTACAGTGGTGCGATCTCAGCTCACTGCAAGCTCCGTCTCCTGAGTTCATGCCATTCTCCTGCCTCAGCCTCCAGAGTAGCTGGGACTACAGGCGCCTGCCACCAGGCCAGATGCCAGGCTAATTTTTTTGTATTTTTAATAGAATGGGGTTTCACCATGTTAGCCAGGATGGTCTCGATCTCCTGACCTCGTGATCCACCCACCTCGCCCTCCCAAAGTGCTGGGATTACAGGTGTGAGCCACCACGCCCAGCCTAGAATTCTTACATATCTTTCATTAGATTTATTTCTATTTTTTCTGATACTATTGAAAACGGAGTCTCTTAATTGCCTTTTCACTGCTGATACATAAGCATGCAACTAACTTCTGTATATTAGTTGTTTGTTTTTTTGTTTGTTTGTTTTGGGGGAGGACAGAGTCTCGCTCTGTCAGCCAAGCCGGAGTGCAATGGCGCAATCTCGGCTCACTGCAACCTCCGCCTCCCAGATTCAAGCAATTCTCCTGCTTCAGCCTCCCGAGTAGCTGGGATTACAGGTGCCTTGCCACCACACCTATCTTTGTATTTTTAGTAAAGACAGGGTTTCACCATGTTGGTTGGCCAAGCTGGTCTCGAACTCCTGACCTCAGGTGACCCGCCTGCCTCGGCCCCCCAAAGTACTGGGATTACAGGTGTGAGCCACCAGGCCAAAGTGCTGAGATTACAGGCGTGAGCCACTGTGCCTGGCCTTGTACCTTAGTACCTGTAGCTACATTGTTAACATCTTCCTTATTTCTAACAATTTATGTGTAAATTCTTCTGGTTTTCTCTACCTAATAAAAGAAAAAAAAATACAGGTGATGTTATTATACAGGTGATGTTATTTTCTTTTTCTGAGACAGAGTCTCACTCTGTCGTTCAGGCTGGAGTGCCGTGGCACAATCCTCACTGCAACCTCTGCCTCCCAGGCTCAAGTGATCCTCCCACCTCAGCCTCCCAAGTAGCTGGGACCACCAGCTACTCAGGGTGTGCCACCATGCATAGCTAATTTTTTATATTCTTTATGGAGACAGGGTTTCACTATGTTGCCGAGGCTGGTCTGGAACTCCTGAGCTCAAGCAATCCGCCCGCCTCAGCCTCCCAAAGAGCTGGGATTATAAGCATGAGCCACCACACCCAACCTCATCTGTAATTTATGAACAATTCATTTCCTCCTTCCAATCCTTATACTTCTAATCCATTTTTCTTGTTTTACTGCACTGGCTAAGACCATCAATACAATCTTTAATAGAAGTGGTTCTAACCGGCATACTTTTCTACTTTTTTAATTTTAAAGGGATGCTTTCAACATTTTCCAATTTAAGATGATGCTTGCTTTAAGCCTTTTATAGATACTCTATCAGGCTACTCAAGAGGCAAAGGCGGAAGGATCCCTTGAGCCCAGGAGTTTGAGGCTGCAATGAGCTATGATTGCACCACTGCACTCCACCTCTAGCCTGGGCAACAGAGTGAGACTCTATCTCTAAAAAAAATAAATCAAAATTATTTTTTAAAATTTTTAAAGAATTCAGATATAGACACCCTTCATCAGGTTAGGGAAATCCCCTTCCATTCCTGATTTAGAACAGTGATTTGAGAATGTTATTTTTAAATGTCAATACAATATATGAAAATATCATCCTTTATAACTACAGAATTTAAAAGCTACAATAAAAACCTTTCTATTTCAACTTAAAAACCTGAGGGATCAGTTTATGTCATTTTACTAGGTACTTGCTAGGTACATGCAGTGATGTGCCACATCTCGTTTATATCAGCTTGCTGGTAGCTTGAAGTTTTAAAATTGACTGTGGTGGGTGTTTTTATACCACAGAAATTAGCAAACACTACAATCGGGGTTTTCCCCCTCCCACACTCCCCAGTAGCTGGTTGTTAAACATTTACCAGCACAACACTGGATGCAGGGGGAAAAAAAGTTTGAAGATCCTGTAAGTAATACTTACATTCATTCAACAAGCATTCATTGAGCATTTACTATGTGCTAGGTAGGCACTGGGAATTAGAGACTTAAGACACTCATAACCAAGAAGAATGTGCTAAGTGGCAAAGTAGCACCAAAACCAATTTTGAGTTGACAGGGCAGGTTGCAATACAGAATCAGGAACCAGGCAATGTAACATCAGAATACCATATGGAAAAATCTTTCAAACCACAAATTGATAATCACTTCCCTGTCTAAAAACATTAATGGCTTTCCATTTGCACACAGATAAGTTTAAATTCCTTAGCATAGAGTGTGGCCTCATTAATAAGATAGTCCCCATCTATCACTGCAGACACGATTCCTGAAGTTTCTTGCCAGTACTACTTCAATTACATGCAGTGCGCACATGACACTTTCCTCCATTCCCTGAATACAACACCATTGCCTTTGTATATTCCATGCACCCTGCCTACAGGAACTTCCCCATTTTCTCTACTCAGATTTTCAAGACCTAATTTTTGTTATCTCCTTAAAGAGGTCTTCCCAATCTTATCAGGGCATTAATTAGCTGTTCCCTCTCTCCCCATACCTACAACACCCTATACATACCTAAATCTATCAGAACGCTTATCCCAGTGAATTTTAGCTATTCACAAGTTATTTTCCTGCCCCAGACCATGTCCCTCATGGGGGAGATAGACTAGATCTACAGTCTGCAAACATTTTCTATAAAAGCTAGATAGTAAATGTTTTCTATTTTGTGAGCCATGTGGTCACTGTTGTAACTACTCAACTCTATTGTACAATACACAGACAATACACACATGAATGTGCGTCCAAATATGACCCATAGGCTGTAGTTTGCAGATTACAAACCACCAGTGGAGAGTGGCGGGGGGGGGGCAGCAACGTCTAAAGACACTTTTGATAGTCACAACAGGAGGTGGGGTACTATGGCATCTAGTGCATAGACCCAAAGATGCCGGTTAACATCCTACAATTTACGTAACAGCCTCCACGAGAATTATCTAGCCCCAAAAGTCAATAGTGATGAGTTGACAAACCCTGCCCCAGACCATGTCCCTCATGGATGGTGACCTTGTCCTGAGTAACATCTGAAGCTTTCCTATTATAGCTTTAGACTCATTAGTTGTTATTTAATAAAGATTTGGGTATATCAATAATTAAACAATATAATTTCTAAAAATTTCCTAATTAGATAAATCAAAATCATGATCTCCATTTTGGCAGAAAGAATCAAAAGCCTTAGCCTTTTGCATACTATCTGAACAGTAATATTATGACAGTAATTTTATATTAACAAATATAGTCATGCACACAAATTTAGCTACAAGGATGTTTGCAATGTGTATTATTTATAATTGCAAAAAAAATGGGAAATAATCGAAATGTCCGACAACAAGAACTTAATAAAGTTTCAGTGAGTGTACACCATGGAATACTAGACGGCATTAAAAAAATTGCATTCTAGACAAGTGATTGTCAATCTGCAGTGAAATCACCTGGGGAGTTTCAAAGGACTGATGGCTGAACCCATCCACAGGGACTGTGACTTCATTGTCCTAGGGTGCAGCCTGGGCACCACAAAGTTTAAAAGCTCCCCTAAATGATCCTAACCTTCAGCCATGGTTCAGAACCACCATTCTAGAAGAATGACATAGGAAAAGCTAACTATAAATGACTATGTAAACATGAAAGGTATAAAATATCATGATTTCACTCGTTGGATGGATGGATTGATGGAGGAATGAATGGATGAATGACGAACGGATAGATGATGGATGGATGGATGGATGGATGGATGGATGGATGGATGGGGGAGGCACACAAAGGAAAAATATCAAAATCTTGTTTGGCCCTAAATATAAAAAGTACAAGAGTACTGGTATAATTCTAAAGCAAAATTATACTATTATTCAGAGCAAATAATGTTATAAGTAATTCAAACCAACACCCTAGACTCTTAAAGAATTACAAACTAATAGGTCTCTATTTTCTTCTTTTTGTCAATACACATCTCTAATAGTTTTTCTTATTATTATAATAATAATGAATGTTCACTATAGAAAAATAAGAATCTAACACTAAGCCAAAAGAAAATAAAAATCTGTCTTAGGTCCCACATACAGAGATAAGCACTACTGACAATCTTTTAGACTTACTTTGTACTTTTTGTTACTGATTTTACAAAAGTGAGGTACTATTATGCATATTCTTTTGGAACTAACGTGTTTTCACACTTTCATATGTGTCATCAACATCACTTTTATGCAAAAAACACAGACAAGAATATTTGGACTCTGCTCTAAGCCTACAAATTCTTTTGATCATACGAATAACAACCCAGCATCTTTTCATTCTTGGCAATGATTCAGACTTTTTTTAACCCACTTTTCAGAAAACTTTTTTGGCTTTCCTGGAAATACATTTCAGAATTGAACTACTGTCATCCTTTTCAGAACATGTAGATAAATGAGATGAAAAAAATGTGAGAGATGATTTTATTGTGACAAACATAATCTGTAAATATTCAAGATGTCCACTGGCCTGAAAATATAAAGAGACTGTAGGATATTAAACTATAAACCATTTCTAACTCTTCTCTCTTTTTTGGGTTAAGAAATCAGTTAATAGACTTCATTTCCTTCATTTCTTTGTCATTCTACTTAAGCTTGGTTTTTGTTTGTTTGCTTGTTTTTGAGACGGAGTCTCATTCTGTCGCCCAGGCTGGAGTGTGGTGGCTCGATCTCAGCTCATGCAACCTTTGCTTCCCAGGTTCACATGATTCTCCCTGCCTCAGCCTCCCCAGTAGCTGGAATTACAGGTGCCCACCACCACGCCGGGCTAATTTTTGGTGGCGGTGGTGGTGGTGGTGGTTGTTGTTGTTTTTGAGACGGAGTTTCGCTCTTGTCTCCCAGGCTGGAGTGCTGTGGCGTGATCTCGGCTCACTGCAACCTCCACCTCCCGGCTTCAAGCGATTCTCCTGCCACAGCCTCCCGAGTAGCTGGAATTACAGGTGCCTGCCACCGCACCTGGCTAACTTTTTGTATTTTTAGTAGAGACGGGGTTTCGCCATGTTGGGCAGGCTGGTGTCAAACTCCTGACCTCAGGCGATCTGCCCAACTGGGCCTCCCAAAGTGCTGGGATTACAGGCGTAAGCAACCACGCCCAGCCAATTTTTTTATTTTTAGTAGAGACAGGGTTTTGCCATGTTGGCCAGGTTAGTCTCGAACTCTGGACCTCAGGTGATCCGCCCGCCTCAGTCTCCCAAATTACTGGAATTACAGGCGTGAGCCACGGTGCCCAGCCTCTACTTAAGTTTTAAAGGAGGAAAAATATAGTCACTTCATTCTAGAATGTAGAAAATCAACCTCTACAAACTTCTACAATATAAATTACAGCACATTACTACAAAAAATAAAAATTCATTGACAACTTGAAATTGTCAGATGTGGAAAGAGCCACAGAATATGTGTTTATGGATGACAACATTATCCTTCTCTCATATAATTTCAAAGCAGATTATATGATAGTAATTGTTTATGAACAGAAGTATTTGTATTAACAGAATTAAGTTAGCAATTCTTTGAAAATCAGTCTTTGAAAATATTTTATCAAATGATAATTCATTTTGCTTATAAAGAGCAGGCAAGAAGCTTCTCAACTCTGTAGCTCAGTGGACACTATCATAAACACATACAAAGCTTCACAAACACGGGAAATAAAAATATATTATTCCAATTTATCTTCACAACAATGAGAAATTCTTAATCTACTGACTGTACAGAGTGTATTCTAAAGGCAATAAAATCCTGTTCATTCATATAAGATTTCTTATGTATCTAGTATGTAAGAGGTACCATGCGAATTGCTGTTTTACAGGGGTAATCAACCTCCTTCCATTCTACAAAGATAAACCAGCATTAAATAAATAATTACAAAATTAATGATTAAATTACAATTGAGATGATTCTTGCAAATAAAGGATGACAGGAGAGTTGTGTCCTTACATGGAAAAAGAGTGTGAATTAAAAGCTGTACATAATATACTATAACTGAACATACTCTAATTTACATATTATTATGTTTTCAATTTTTTTTTTTTTTTTTTCCCTGAGACGGAGTCTCGCTCTGTCGCCCAGGCTGGAGTGCAGTGGCACCATCTCTGCTCACTGCAAGCTCCGCCTCCCGGGTTCACGCCATTCTCCGCCTCAGTCTCCCGAGTAGCTGGGACTACAAGAGCCCGCCACTGTGGCCGGCTAAATTTTTTTTTGTATTTTTAGTAGGGACGGGGTTTCACCGTGTTAGCCAGGATGGTCTCAATCTCCTGACCTCAGGATCCACCCACCTCAGCCTCCCAAAGTGCTGGGATTACAGGCGTGAGCCACCGCGCCCGGCTACTACATTTTCAATTTTTTAAGGAAGTCTCTCCCATTGTGTAGAACTGACTTCTCTTTTAACTTTGCAAAGCCACATGCAAATGGACACACAAATATGGAAGAAAAGAGATTTAGTCATAATAAGGAAATTTAAATATGACTTCATTTTCAAAATCAAAAATTCAAGAAAACAGAGCATTCAACCAACCTGGACCTACTCTAGATTCCAACAAAGCTATCAAATAACATTATTAGTTTTTAAAAAATTCGTTATTGGCCAGGCACAGTGACTCATGCCTGTAATCCCAGTACTTTGGGAGGCTGAGGCGGACAGATCACCTGAGGTCAGGAGCTCAAGACCAGCCTGGCCAACGTGGCAAAACCCTGAAAACTACTAAAAATACAAAAATCAGCCAAGTGTGGTGGAGGGTGCCTGTGGTCCCGGCTACTTCAGAGGCTGAGGCAGGAGAATCGCTTGAACCCAGGAGTCAGAGGTTGCAGTGAGGCGAGATCACGTCACTGCACTCCAGCCTGGGCGACACAGCGAGACTCTGTCTCAAAAAAAGAAAAGGAAAAAAAGGCATTTAACACAAAATTAGCTGGGTGTGGTGGCGTGTGCCTGTAGTCCCAGCTATTCAGGAGGCTGAGGTGGGAGAATCATCACTTGAGCCCAGGAAGAATTTCAGTGAGCCAAGACTACACTACTGCACTCCAGCCTGGGTGACAGAGCAAGACCCTGTTCCCAAACCAAAGCATTTAGCTCTGTGTGTATAGCCTTGGAATAAATGTTAATTCAACGTAACATCACATTTAAGATAAAAGGTTCATAAGTGCACATACACATAAAACACATAAAGACAAACATATTGCCAAAGAATTCACAAAAGCACTTGGGTATATAAACACAGACGTCCCTCTAACATTCAGAGAGATTTTTGTAGAGATTCCCCCAGTATGAAATCTGTAATCACCATAACACATTAATTACAACAGTGATGGAAGACTGCCAACAGTGTCCCTGAAAGAATAGTACCTTAGGCCAAACTCATCTTTGGTACTTACTATTCTCCACTCTTCCCCCCTTTCTGAAACCTTTTACTACTTCTGCCTTTTCGGTATACTATGCATTATCTCTCCTCTGACCATCACAAAATGGTACATGTCTCAAAATAAAACTATATGAGGCTGGGCACAGTAGCTCACAAACTGTAATCCCAGCATTCTGGGAGGCCGAGGCAGGCAGATCACTCGAGCCCAGGAGTTCAAAACCAGCCTGGTCAACATGGCAAAACCCCATCTCTACAGAAAAATACAAAAATTGGCCAGGCGTGGTGGAGCACACCTGTAGTCCCAGCTACATGAGAGGCTGAGGTGGGAGAATCACTTGAGCCAGGGAGGCAGAGACTGTAGTGAGCCGAGATCATGCCACTGCACTCCAGCCTAGTTGACAGAGCAAGACCCCTGTCTCAAAAAAACAAAGAAACAAACAAAAAACCATATGAAACTCCAATAAATATATAAAAGCTACACTGCTTCATAATAAATTTTTGGAAGGTGCAAAAGGAGCATTCAAAGTTAAAATCTGTGATTTTTCCATAATCATTTTGGGAGAAAAGACTGTTTTAGAATGATATGATGCAAGAGAAAATGTAAACAGTGAGTCCATGAAAAAGTTATCTTGTCTAACAAGGAAATAGCACCTCACTAGGATGGCTACTACCAACGAAACAGAAAATAATAAGGGCTAGGAGGATATGGAGAAAATGGAATCCTTGAGCAATGTAAGCCGGTGCAACCACTATGGAAAACAGTATGGCAGTTCCTTGCAAAATTAAAAAAAAGAATTACAGTATGATCCAGCAATTCCACTTCTTGGTACAGACCCAGAAGAATTGAAAGCAGGGTTCCAAAGATGTATTTGTACACCCATGGTTCACAGCAGCATAATTCGCAACAGCCAAAAGGTGGAAGCACGAGGTCAGGAGATTGAGACCATCCTGGCTAACACAGTGAAACCCCGTGTCTACTAAAAATACAAAAAATTAGCTGGGCGTGGTGGCGGGCACCTGTACTCCCAGCTACTCGGGAGGCTGAGGAACGGGAATGGCGCGAACCCGGGATGCGGAGCTTTCAGTGAGCCGTGATCAAGGACACTGCACTCCAGCCTGGGAAACAGAGTGAGACTCCATCTCAAAAATAAATAAATTAAATTAAATTGAATAAAAATTTAAAAAGGTGGAAGCAACCCAAGTGTCCACTGACAGAAGAATGGATAAACAAAATATGGTCTATATATACAAGGGAATATTATTCAGCCTTAAAAAGGAAGGTGATTCTGACCCATGCTACAATATGGATGGACCTTAAATACATTGTGCTGAGTTAAACCAGTTACAAAAATACAAATACTGAATGATTCCACTTACATGAGGTACCTAGAGGTCAGAGGCCGGGAAGAGGAAGAAACAGAGCATTAGTGTTTAATGGGTACAGAGCCTCCAGTTTTTCAAAATGAAAAGAGGTGAAGAGATTAAGGTTGCACAACAATATTAATGTACTTAACACTACTGAACTACACACTTAAAAAATGGCTAAGATGGTAAATGGTCTGTGTACTTTACCATAATTTTTTAAGTTATCCTGTCTAGAAATCAAATAATACAACAGATAGCAACTATATGATGTCATTTTGAGCCTACTAGGCTAGTGATGGTGAAACTGATATCCTTGTACACAATTACCAGAGCAAATGTAAATGGGTGCAATCTTTTCCAGAAAGGCAAAATAATTAGGCATAAAAAGCTCAACATTATAAATCTAGTCTATGGAATTCCAGTTTAATGAAAAAACTGAGCCATCTTAAATGACCAAAAAAACTGAGCCATCTTAAATGACCAAAAAAAAACTGAGCCATCTTAAATGACCAAAAAAAAAAAAAAAGGAAATGGTTAAGTAAGTTATGATGAGTCATTACCTTTAAGGAACACAATTGTGAATTCTAACCATGAAAACAATTACTGAAATCTGTTTTAAATACAATTAATGTTAGAAATCCAAACATAAAATTGCATATACACTATTAATGTGATTATATAAAAATATATAGTATCTAAACAATTCTAGAAGATCATAGGCAGAAATGTAAATGGCTTCTTTAACATAGTGAGGTTACCAGTAATATTTTTCCCCCATTTTCAAAATATATTTATTTTAATGTTGTGGTTAACAACAAGAAAAGGGGGTTGTGGAAAATGAAGAAAATCGATTAGTTTAAATGAAATTAGATAAAAGTATAAATAGAGGCAAGAGGGGAGTACTTGCCTAAACTAAACTTAAAATCTTCTCTAACCCACCTATTCTCCCAATACCAAGCTTTCCCTAATTTCTTAATGTCAGTCTCGATCTCTCAATGCTGGGTCTTCACATACGTTGTTCCTTCTGTTTAGAACACTCTCCTCTTCCTCTTCACTAGGTCTCAGCTGGAAGGTTTCCTTAAAGTGGTCCTCCCAACCTCCCTGTGAGGACAGATTCCCTTGCTCCTGCAGGAGCAAGGACTCCCTGGATGTCCCTTTTGGTACTAAGACCGTACTACTGGCTCAATGTCTGGCTTTCCCACCAGTTCCATGATCTACAAGGCCAAGGGTCATGTCTGTCTTGTTCTTGGCTGTATCATCTAAGACCACCACAGAAACAGTACATATGTAGGGGCTCATTAAGTATCTGTTTATACTAAAATTAAAACAATTATTATTTATTCAAAATTACAATTCTCTCCCTTAAAACTTGTTTTAAAATCGAAGATTCAAACACCATGACCCCTAAAATATTTTAAGAAATTAATTTATAGTATCATGTGTCTCAAAGTTGTCTAACTTTGAATTTGAATTTCCTATCCTTTGCAATATTCCAAGTTAATCTTCTAGCTTTCACTATCCCTTGCAATTATTAAACTTTTAACAGTCATACTATAAGATGATAAGTATCCTGACATTTCATATTAAAATCTAATATGACCCATAAATCTCTACAGCCTAATCAGAATCAGAGTCTTAAAATGTCCATTTATTCTATTTTTGGCTAAAGAAAATGTATCAGGACAAAGAGGCACCAGGTTATGAGAACAGCTAATCTTTAGTGAAGCAATCTCAATTTATGTACAAATAGCTATAGCTGTTTTATTATTATAAAATAATTCGATTCAATACTGCTATACTTTATACCTTCATAGCATTTGTTCAGTAGCATCTTGAGATTTTTATCAAGATAATTCAGAACAGGAATTCTACTAAAAGGGATCTCTCGATAAAAGCCAAAAGCCGTCTCATTTCAACGCCATCTCATATTCTAGAAAATATTTCATTGTCAATTTTTTCTCAAGACTTTGTAATAAAAGTAAAATAGAAACTAGTAAAGCAGAACAATAAATCCTGTACTTATGCAAGAGATTTGAATCCTATTTCAATTCAAGTAGAAATGGGGAATTTTCTACTAAACAGCTAAACGTGAAGGAAATCTAGAGATCACCAGGCAGTCTTCCTTTCTCTTGAAGGCAGGCTTCCTGACAGAATGTCCCCTAACCAGTCACACCTGTTAGGTCAGATCCCATTACAGGAACCCTCCATCATCCATCATCTGAGGAATAGTCTATAAAACAGCTGGTCTGTTGTCTTCAAAAACATCAATATCACAAAAGGTAAAGAAAATCTGAGGAACTATTCCAGATTGGAGGAGAGTAAAGAGACTGGATGACAAAAGGCAATGTGTGAATAACACTCAGCTGAATCCTGTACTGGAGGAGCAAAATGCTGTAAAGCACATCATTGGGGAAACTATCAACACTGGAATAAGGATCATATATTAGATAAGTCTAATCTATCTATGTGATTATTTTACCGTGGTTATGCAAAAGAATGGCGTTGTTTTTCGGAACCATACACTGAGGTACATATGGGAAAAGGAGCATGATACATGCAACCTACTCTCAAATTGTTCAAAAATAAATCAGTGATATTTTAAAAATAGATTTTCAGAAATAATATTTTAAAATAAATAATTGATCCCACTGAAAAAATAAAGTTGGACTGGTTGGCAAGGAGTAGATGTAAGAATTTCATCTGCTGAGAAGAGACACACACTAATGAAAGAAAAAAAATAATGAAGGAAAACTTTGTAGATCTAGACATTGTTATATTCCATCAGAATGCAGCCAGCACTGAGCTAGAAAAGCTTATCTTTTCAGTTAGAATAAAATTTCTAGTGTCTAACAACTTTTATATCACATTGTCAGGGAAAAGAGTAATAACTCCATTTTTATAATACAAATCAAACATTTTTAAGTAGCTTTTATTTTTAAGCACAGAGATACTGCTAAGGAATCATGTGAGAACCAAATTCCTTTTAACAGTCAGTTTGGATATCCAGATAGTAGAAGTAGAGTTTTTCTCCTGTTCTGTGCAAAGTCCCCCATATATAGATGTATACAATATACCAAAAGTACAAAGTTTCCATACAAGGTCTCACTAACACTGATTATTTTAAAAACCACAATGGCCCTATTGCCCCCATGTATGGAAACCCGGATAAGATAATGGCAATGGAGAAGCGCCTTTCCTTATCCAGAAGAGAGACTCTAACAGCAGTAAAGGTTTCCCCTTAGCAGTAAGGCAACCTGCTTTATATAGCTTCTAGGTCACATCTGTCAGCAGAAACGTTTTTTATAATAAAGCATGCCAACAAAATACATCCTACTAGTCACATTATAGTGGTCTGAATTAACCACTTAGCATGTAAATTTCTGTTATATTAGTTAAAACAACAAATTTAAGCAGGTTTGAAAATTAAATTCAATATCTGCTGTACCATAATTGTCAAAAGTAAACAGTTTGCAATGCTCTTCCAACACTGGTAATAGCTGGTTCCTCCTCCCCTAATCCAGAACACTTCACACATGACCTACATCTACATATCATAGAAAGACAATAATATAAAATTGTTACCAAAGGAAAATACAAAGACCAACTATTATAATTTACATAAAAACTTAATACATATATACATGTTAGCTTTTACAAATTTCTCTCAAGTTATAATCAAGCAAATATATTCTCCCTTACCTTGCAAGTACTAGAACATAACTAGGTTCACCAGTGAAGAGATCAAACACAGTGCTTTACTGTAGTGTTCAAACCTTTACTAAGGCATCCTATAAATTCCATTTCTATTCCACTCTTCTAACATCTAAAACAGGCAACTGTATTTTTAAAAAGACATTGTGACGCCAAATGCCCCACAATATAAATGTTAATGAATATCTATTAGTGTCTGACTATAATCTTTTTATATTTTATTGTTTAAAGCTTAACACCT
The DNA here is from genome assembly GCF_000001405.40 of Homo sapiens. Lineage (NCBI taxonomy): Eukaryota > Metazoa > Chordata > Mammalia > Primates > Hominidae > Homo > Homo sapiens. The sequence goes on from NC_000010.11 coordinate 11,589,837, forward strand.
GAATGCTACCAATGTGTGAGAACAAAATCAAACCGGTGCCGCTCCAGGGTACCAAGGCAATGCCAGGGGAAGTCAGTTTCTAAATTCAGAGGGAAAAGACAGCACTCTACTACCAACTGCCTGCACAACGGCCATTATCTCTGAACATGAATAAGAATAACCCATAGGAGAAGTTTTCATTTTCACCTGACCTCCTAACTTCTGGGCCACATTCATGATACAAACATACAGTGCATTTCAGTTTTAAAAAAGAATTAATTTATGGCTCAGTGCTTAAAAGTAGGAGTGGGAGACTGGGATAAGGGAAGACATTTTCACTCTATGTCCGACCTTTCTAACCCGTAGCTTTAAAGAGAAGCTGAAAAGAATTACTTTCACAGTCACCCTGCCTATCTCCAAAAAAAAGTCACACCAAAATACTATTTTAGATCAATTCTGAGGAAGAAAGACAGAGGCTTGAAAATTTCTAATATCAATTTCACACTACAGGAAATGAGATTTCTGTACAATGGCACCCATCACATACACTGATAGCCACAAATTCCCTTAGTAGAAGACATCTATTTGTGTTCAATGCAAAAAAATGAAAATATATAGCTGTCCAGATACTATTGTAAAAACTGGATGTTACTTATGTGGAATTTTATTCAGACCATGTAACAAATCTCAGTTACTAAGCGGTGCTTTCCACTACATCTTTTCACAAATAAAAAATACTAAAAATCATACACATAATATTTTCATATAGAAATCCAGTTTTGGAGAAGTTAATGTAAAAGAGATACAGATTTTTTTCCAACCAGTACATCAACTCTAATAACACAGATTCAAGAAGAAAACTGTAAAAATCAAACTCTATTTTCTAAAACTAATGAAAGAGATAACAAGACGAATATTTAAGAGGATTAATTTGAAACATAATTCCCCTCTGAACTCTGGCTGCCAGGAGAACAAGCAGAAGGACGCGGAGAACACGCACCTGCATTTGGAATCATGGTACTTTGGAAAATCAGACTCTGAGCAACACAGTAGGCCCCCAAACCCTGAAAACTGTGTTTCCTGTAATGTAGCATATTTCATAACTAATACAGGAATTCCTTGTTTTACCCAATAGATGTACTCCTATAAGACAAAATTAGAAATGAAAATTTTCTCACTGACTTAACAGTAAATTTTAAGAGTTAGAAGGCGTCCAGATGATCTATCTAGTGCCTACATTTACGAATGAGTAAAGGATGTGTGGGGAGGGGGTTAAAGAAGTCAAGCCACTTGCCATACATAACGTGGCTACCAGCAGCAAAGCCAGGGTTCCACCTCAAGTCTCTGGGACTCTGGGAACATAAAGAGGCCAGCCACTGGAAAACTTACTGCTTTCAGAATGGAATTCGAAATAGTTCTCTTAAGAATGGAGAGTCTCTTGAAACTATTATAAAGAAGTCATTTGGAGCACACTGGTTTGTGTTGTACTAAAAAAATTTCATTAAAGTTGATTTACATATAAAATTTATCTATATTATGCAATACGTTGTAGATCTAAAAGAAAACGTTTAATAACAGGTCTATAAAAACTAGATAAATATAGCTTTTGAAGAATAAAAATATAATAGTAGGTATATAATTTGAAATTTTAAGATTTAACTAGTAAAAATAATTCAGAAGCTTTACTAAGCTTATACTACTATAGTAATTTACATTTATGCAAAAAATTAAATCACCAAATAAAAGGAAAACAGACTTTCACAGAAAATGTTTTGTTTAAACATTTCAATTTCTTTTCTAGATAGAGGTGTGTGTGAGAGAGGGAAAGGGAGAGGGAGAATCAAATGGACAAAATGTAAATATTTGATAAATCTCACCAAAAGGTATATGGAAATTTGGGGTACTATTTTTACAACTTTTCTTGTTGTAAGTTTGAAAAAATATCAAAAGAAAATATATAAGAAAAGAATGTAAACCACCTCCCAAAAAATTTTTAACTTAAATATATAAGACTATATTAAATTCATATTTAATTTCCCATAGTATCAAACCAAGAATTACTCTTTTTATTTTTGAGACAGTCTCACTCTGTCGCCTGGGCTGGAGTGCAGTGGCTCAATCTCAGCTCACTGCAACCTCCACCTCCTGGGTTCAAGCAATTCTCCTGCCTCAGCCTCCTGAGTAGCTGAAATTACCGGCACCCACCACCATGCCCAGCTAATTTTTTAGTATTTTTAGTAGAGACGGGGTTTCACCATGTTGGCCAGGCTGGTCTTGAACTCCTGACCTCAGGTGATCTGGCCACCTCAGCCTCCCAAAGTATTGGCATTACAGCCGTGAGCCACCACACTCGGCCTCAGAATTACTCACTTTTCTACAGCAAGTGGTCAAAAGAAGATAAATTAGCTAAAAGCACAGTATATTCCACTTTAAATAGTGTTAATAACAACGAAGTACACTAAACTAAGAAAGTAATCACACAAATTTTCTGAGAAGCAATTTCTGCTGGCATTCTTCACCACTGACTACAGCTAAAGGCTGCCACAGGTCTGACAGTGGCCCCTGCCCACTAGATGCCATCAGGTCCCCCAGTAACTGTCAGCCACAAAGTCTCCATACATTTCCAAATTCCTCTCCTCCATTAAGAATCACTGATTATATATTCATTTTAAGAATAACATTTAGAACTTTATATTCCCAAATCTAAATTTATCAAACATAAATGAGTCTTAATATAACAAAAGGATACCTGTTATACTTTGTAAGGGGATTTAAGATTCCATTAAATAACAGACATGCTGGCATTTCAAAGACAATTCAACTTAAATTTTCTTTTAACTTCTACCCAACTTCTGAAGCATGCAGCTATTCCACAAAACAGTTTATCTATCTAGATAGGCTACTGTCCTAGAGAGTTTTAGCCAGTACTTATGGGAAGTCTTCTGTTACTTGGAGCACAACTTTTTTACTTAGTAAGACTCTGAAGAATCCTTCTACTACCACTGAGAGATTTAGTAATCTATTCATTTATTTATAACATTATCTGCTCTAACAAATATTAAAACAAATTGTTCTTCACTTCAGCATGAACACTTAGTCCCCTGCTCCAGTGAATGAAGGTCTTTACTCCTATACTATTAGAAAACCACAAATACACTACACCCCAAATTACTCACTGCCATTATTCTTCCTCAGGTGAATGAGAAACATTTCATATCGAAAAATGACCTCAAAAAACTCATTTCATTATTTAGAACAAAGGGCAGAATCAAACACTCCAGTGTCATAGATTCACTCCTGGATTACCCAGCCAGAAGAGAAAAACTCTTAGGAAATCTATCACGTAATTAGTTGCAGAGCAAAACTTTCCTGAAGAAACTGAAATAAAATACAGAACATTAAAATTTTAAAACAGAGCAAATAAGCTAGTAAGTGTTTTTTTGTTTTTTAGTTTTTGTTTTTACTTAAAGCTTTGGAAAAAGAAATTAAGTAATACTGTAATTACTTTTGTGTTTTGGTGTTTTCACTTAGTTTTTTTTAAAATATATTCTACCAAAATAATCACTATTTTGTGCCTTGTGTACAAACTTCTCTTGTGACCATTTATATTATGGATCTGAGAGCTCCTTTTAAATCATAGCCACAGTTTGAGTATAACAACTTAATTTAATCCTTGGTTCCATCTGAGAAAAACAAAATGGGCAAGTGTGATAAATGTTAATATGCAAATACAGAAAAACAACAATTTATGTACTAAAAATCAAAAGGCTTTTTGTGGATTGTAATAAAGTACAATCCACAATGAAATGCACATCATACTAACAGCATCATACAGTACGTTTTCCACAAAATAGATACTCAGCCTCAGAACGTGATAGCCTATATATCCACCAGAATAAAAGCGGAAAAACATTATAAAGCTTCTAGATGGGGCATTCCAACTACTGTGCCAAGAGGGTGCCATGGCAGTGAGCCACGCCTAGCTGCCTGGGCTGAGACGTTAGAGCCAGGTGCCTCTAAGCTCTAAACAGCTTCTTCAGTTTATCCCACGTGATGTACAGCTATGACCATGTTCTAGCGTTTGATAACATGGAAAGGGCTGGGAAACACTGCAAAGATAAATCTAACCAGATATACAAATATCCAATCTTTCTTTTAATCTCCAGAAAAATATTGGGGGGGAAAAAAGCTAAGCCATCATTCCCACCCAAATCTAAGTTTGGAAATTCTATCTAAACTTCAGTGACATATATTGCTATTTTTTAGCCTGTACCACATATCCATAATTTTTTTTTCTCAAAAACAAGAACTCTGACACACTTGATCACGACCATTTGGAAGACTTACAACCCCCTAGAAACTGCAGCACAAGACAGATCGCTCTAATACTCCCTAACCTTTGGTACAGTAGTCTACTAAGGAACAATTTCTTTCGCTAGAGAAAATCATCAAATGGACAAGAAAAAGAAATGTAACTCAGTCTGATTCAGAGGGAGCTTGGAAAGAACTGAAAACTGAAAACAAGGCAAGAAAGGGTGAATACTGCCTGTGTAACCAATCTTTTTAACCGACATCTAACAAAATATCTGTTTGTCAGGGTAATTTTTTCTAGAATGAAATCTCATTAAGTTGCTTCTCTAACTGAAATCCTTTAATAGCTCCTTAAGCCCTATAGGATCAAGTCCAAACTTCCTAGAATGTAAATGACCTGGACCCCAATTTCGTCTCCTCCACCTTTACAATCCCCCTTCCTATCTCTAGAGTCCAGAATGTTCAATTCACTAGCAACACCTATGTGGAGTCAGAACATCACACCTTTCTCACATTGCTCCGCCAGCCTGGAATGCTTTGTCTCGGGCCACACTCTACACATACACTCTTCTCACGGCAACAGCTCCCATTTCACCTAAAAATAATAATAATAAAACACAGAATAGCTCCTGCATACTAAGGACATTACTTACAAACACCCAAGGTAGTGCAATATTTATTTAACACCTATTTAGTGCCAGGAACAGTGTTTGGCTCTAGGAATGAAATCATCTTTTCTCCTCAAGGAGCACACAGATTAGAGAAACATACAAGCAAATAAGCAGATGATTTGAATACAGCTTGATGGGTCCCAGAAGGAGGCAGGCAGAGTGCTATGGAGAAGCAGCGCACAGGGCTCACCTCCCAACTGGAGTGCTGTGTGGGTGACAGGCAGTGGCTCTAGGAACTAGCAGACTACTCAGAAGCTGATTTTTTTAAAAGAATCTGAAGTGGGAAGTAAGGCGTTAAGTCCCCGATGGCATTGTTCTTTCTCTGTAGCTTCCCCTTCTTCACACAAACACACAGAAATAACAGGTGAAAGAGAAGCACAAGTCACTAAAATGGCACAGCTATGCCCCAAACATCTCTGTAGATCAGACATCTAACAGGAACATAAAGGGTGAGGCACACTGAAGGCACAAGGTCAGCTGGACTCTGGGCCCAGGGCAGGACAGAGCAGCAGGAAGTTTTGTCCTATGGGGAAAACTGTAAATAAAAGTTTTCCCTAGGAATCAGGGTCAAGAGCCAGGCTCTGTGCCTAAAGCCAGAGACTGGGGTGGCACTTTTCCTTAATTATGAAACTAGATTGAAAATGCTTCTACTAACTGTGCTGAGGCTACAGCTTATAAGAGGTTGCTGACCTAATGCCAGCTGACTCAGTGACTGAATCTGTGATGTTCTCAACGTCACCATGGGGCCAGGGCTCTGACCCACTAACACAGACCTGATTCTGATCTGGGAACTCCAAAGCCAGGCAGAGACAAATATGAATCTGCTAGACCAGCATGAAAAAAACAAAAATCACAAAAAGAAAGAGAGAGACATAAGAGCAAAAAAACTTCCATCAGAATGTGCCTGCAAATTACAGAACATGATGAAAATATCAACAATCAAAACATAAATTCCCTGAAGACAAAATTTTAAAATTATCAAATGATCTGAAAAAGACTTTAAAATAAGCATGTAAAAGATCCACAAAGAGATAAAATAACAGAACCAATTGTTTTAAGTGGACATGAAAAAGAATTAGTGGATTAGTGGATATAAAGAACCAGTTAAAAATCTTGCAAATGAAATATAAATATTACAATTTAAAGGTGAAAAATGTTATGTGGTTCAAACACTATTAGTTGCTTGGCAAGCCATTCCTCCCCTCTGCCTTCATCCTCGCAAGACTTTGATCTTTGTTTTCTAGGGTAAGCAGTATACAAGACACCATCAAACACCGAAATTCAAACATGAAAGGCACAGGCTACCTGCCGTCAAAAAAACTTACATCTGCAACACTGATCCTAACAGAACCCAAAAATTGCAAAGTAGAAGAAAATTTATTTCACTTTCCAAAAATGTAAGCGTTTTTAAGTTAAAATGCTTGCCATTTCTTTTAATTTTTGTGAACTAATTACCATCTTCACTAGAGTTAGCACTTTACATTAGATAAACTTTCTCACAAAATGTCATGATTGGAGCTGAAATAACAAAAGCTCTTTCTTGGCCGGGCGCGGTGGCTCACGCCTGTAATCCCAGCATTTTGGGAGGCTGAGGCGGGCGGATCACAAGGTCAGGAGATCGAGACCATCCTGACTAACACGGTGAAACCCCGTCTCTACTAAAAATACAAAAAAAAATTAGCTGGGCCTGGTGGCGGGCGCCTGTAGTCCCAGCTACTCGGGAGGCTGAGGCAGGAGAATGGCGCGAACCCAGGAGGTGGAGCTTGCAGTGAGCGGAGATGGTGCCACTGCACTGCAGCCTGGGCGACAGAGGGAGACTCCGTCTCAAAAAAAAAAAAAAAAACTCTTTCTTAATCTGTACTGAACTCATCTAGCCACTAACTTTGTTTCTTCAAAGTACACTACCGAAAAAGTATACCACTGAAAAGTCAAAAATCAAAGACCGTTCCTTACAATATTATTCTTAGTAGAAGCACTCCAATATTTTACAACAGCAGCGTCATTTTCACTTATCTACTGCCTAATTATTTGAACTGATGATGAGAAAAGCTGCCCTATTTCATATTAAGGTAAATATAATCAATACAAATACTATGTGAAAAACATTTAAACTCTAATATCATCTTCCAATAAGAAAATGCTCATTGCATCCCAAAGATTCCATAATCAGGAAATCTATACTTCAAATCTCCATATAATCCCAGTTAGGGTAAAATCTCAATTCTTTTCCCACCCTCTAAAAAGAAACAGTTAACACAAAAAAGTAAAATCCAGTTCTCTTGTTCACAAGCAGAAGTATATAGGAATAGAGAGAAAATATTACATATACTATCCCCTTACAACTAAGAAGATAAAATTATCAAATGTGGTTAAGCCCAGGATAGCCTTGGTTCTTTGTTCTATCAGAGACATTGATAGATTGTTAGGGGTTTTTTTTCCCTTAAATACAATATAACCCATGTTACTCAATGATTAAATTTCACACAATAAAATCTCTACTAATTATGGTCAACTGCAATGTTCCCTATTCATATTTCTGAAGAACCGTTTTCCAATGGCAAGTCAATAGAAAATTTTAGATCACAGAACTAAATCAGCCAAAGAGCTAATGACCAGATTTCCTCATCACATGAAACTTTTTAGAATAAATCAAACATCAGAAAGTATCTCCTTGTCTTAACACAGACAAGCGCAGAGTGCTGGGTGGAACCACATTCAAACTCTGAATAAGTGACATAATTCCAATTTATTCAGTAACATGTTTTTCTTCTCCTAAGCACAATACAGCAAACGCTCCTGAGATGGCTGGAAGGAAAGGAAGCAGCGCACTTACTCATGACTGGAAATGGGTCTGAATGTTGTCCCAATCAGATATTAAACCAAAATCTGCTGTCCAAGGTTTCTCAGAGGAATACATGTCCTAGTCAGGAAACAAAGAGAAAGAAATAGTATTTTCTAGAGGTCAATATTTAAAATAAAGTTTTCTTAAAGAAAATCATTTTGTTTCAAAAATATTCTACTATTTCCAAAAAGAACTCTTGTGATCACCTATTAAATATAAAAGATTATTAATCAACTTTTAGAATATCCTGTTGAATTCGTGTTTTCCTCTTTTGGAATAAGTTACTTCAAATTTAAGTGATATGTAGTAAGTAATCACCACATAGAAACTTACTAACAGGTGTCCTTCGTCTTCAACACTAAAAACATTTCTTCCCCATTCCCAGCTAAGAAAATCACAGGTAGAAGGCACTCCATCTAGGGTAAATACAGCCCACATCATCCCTGCTGAGTATATTTTGACTGCACATAAATGATTAATGTAAGACTTCAAATAAGGATCAGCAAAGTTATTGCTATAGACTTTCTCTAGCAATGAATATTTTCTTCATTATAAAAGTAATATGGGTTCATTGTTTTAAAAACAAAAAGAATAACAATAAGGTAAACTTCTCTCATAACATATTACCCTAACCCCTACATCTACCCAATCATTTGGGACATATTTCCTTTCAAGCCATTTTTTTTCTAAGTATTTTAAAAATATACTTGATACTACACATAAAATTTTGTACTTGTTCCTTTCCACTTAAGAGCATAACATAAAACATCAACTTGTGTTAGTATTAATACAAACTTAACCCTTTGCTAAGATTTACTTTATAAATCTTCCTTTCTTAATTACTGTATTTCTAAAATATTAATATAGGTATAAATATTAATGCTATATTTAAACATAACCATGGATGCACAAATGCCTACCTAAATCTATCATATAAAATTCCACAGATAAGATCAGACTCAACACAAAATGTACACCTGTACTACCTCACATGTAGTTTCCTTCATAAACAAATAAGCTACTTCTTCCAATCACAATAGGTGATGGTTATTTTCTAAATCAATTAAGAAAACAGTATACTACTACTAGAGACCTCTGCTTTAGAATCAAAGTTAGGGAAATACTTTTTGAAGAAATACTGCTTGCCACATCTATATACTGTACTTGCGTCATGTAATATACATGAGAAGTATTTCATTTGCAGAATGAAAACAGACTGCATCAGCACTTACGTGCCCAGCATGGCCCGCACACTGTAATTAGCATGGCATAGAATCACAGTGCTGCCACGTAATACCCTGACCCCCAACCCACATGCTTTCCTCTTTATCTGTCCACTTAAATGATTTCCATTTCCAGATAATGCAATTATCCCAAAGGAAGTGAGAAGTTGTATGGAAAATCTAAAACATATAACCCACATGCTAGTTTTAGAATACATGATGAAAGTTTCTCACAAGAAATATACTTTCTTGATGGTGCTTAACTGACTATTTAGATTTGTTTTCCTGCCTAGGAAACTCTGAGGTAGGACATGTGGACCTGGAGCATGCTGACTGCTGACAAGGCAAGACAGTCCCGTGTTACAAATAAGGCAGGATTAAACGTTCACAGATGACCCAAGAGTCCACTTAAATTTATACTTGTAGAGTCTAGTCGCTTTGACCAGGGACTTTTCTCTTTATGTTTATACAAAATTTTTTAATCTTAAATTTAAAACTCCTAAATGGTAACATTAAAGCACCTTGTGCGATGTAGCACACTGCTTCCTGCCTCTAACCAAAAGGAGCCAAAGAAATACTTATTCAAGGATTTCAGTTCTTAAGACATCAAGAGTTTTCTCAGCACCAAAAATAGTAACCTCAAAAACACCAGTATAATAAAACTTATAAACACTAGACTTATAATCTTACCATCTGAGGTAATAAATGTACACAAATTTTATAGTTTGCAAAACTAAATAATGCATGTTTTGGAATGTCATGGATTAGTTCTTAGAAACATTTATAAATGACATAACTGAAGTCACGCGTTCAGGATTCTTTATTTACACTAATCACAGCTTTAAAATATAGATCCTCCAACCTACTTTTTTTTTTTTTTTTTTTTGAGACGTAGTCTCGCTCTGTCGCCCAGGTTGGAGTGCAGTAGCTGGGACTACAGGGACCTGCCACCACGCCCGGCTAATTTTTTGTATTTTTCACAGAGACAGCATTTCACGGTGTTAGCCAGGATGGTCTCGATCTCCTGACCTCGTGATCCACCCACCTCGGCCTCCCAAAATGCTAGGATTACAGGCGCGAGGCACCATGCCCAGCCCCTCCGACCTACTTTCAAAGTAAGGAGTCTACCAATTGTTATATGGAACAAGGTAGTTGAGCAGCACACAGGAGAAAATGTTTAGACTCCCTTTCTCCTCCCCTAAATGCTACTTTTGCACTAAACATACAGAGGTGAAAGAAGAAAAACCTTACTTTCTGTTTTTCACACCATCCAACAGGGAAAAAGTAATGTCTTAAACCCATAATTTCACATCAAATTATATTGGGATATTTCTGCAAAAATTGGCCTTTCATCTCATTTTCCAGGTACTCTAAGTCTAAGGGCGTGGCCATATGACTTGCTGGAATGGTTCTAACTGGAGGCTTGAGGAGCACTGAGGCAGCCTGCCTTCCCTTGTGCTCCTACATGCAGAACAAGAAATGTATGCCCCAGGTAGCAATGGCCCACAATGAATAAATAACCTAACATGTAACTGAAGCCAACCCACATCTTACAGCCAAACCCAGCCAAACTCAACAGAGAGCGCAGACCAGTGAGCTAGAAAGAAACGTCTGGTGTTGTGCACTGAAAGTTTGCAGTCGTTACACAGCATTATTACAGCCAAAGATGACTAATACAGACAGTAAAGATAGTAATTTTAAATTCAAATTTAAAAATTTTCTAGTTAAAAAGACTATTTTAAAAGTCTAGCCATATTTCATAAGAAATACACCTAAATCAGCAAAACACATAAAGGTGAGAAATAAGCATTAAAAATGTTTATCAGGCTGGGCACGGTGGCTCACGCCTGTAATCCCAGCACTTTGGGAGGCCGAGGCGGGTGGATCACGAGGTCAGGAGTTCAAGACCAGCCTGGCCAACATGGTGAAACCCTGTCTCTACTAAAAATATAAAAATTAGCTGGGCGTGGTGGCAGCCGCCTGTAATGCCAGCTACTGGAGAGGCTGAGGCAAGAGAATTGCTTGAGCCTGGGAGGTGGAGGCTGCAGTAAGCCAAGATCGCACCACTGCACTCCAGCCTGGGCAACAGAGCAAGACTCTATCTCAAAGAAAAAAAAAAAGCTTATCAGGCAAACTCTAACCAAAAGAGAGACATGTGGCTATAGAAAGTCTTTCATGTGTGCTAAGATATATACTGAAAAATGTTCACAGCAATGCTATTCATAATAGCAAAGAAACTGAAATTTCCATCAACAAAAGGGTAAGTAATGATATCATGTTTATATAATCAAGTACTATGAAGCAGTGAAATGAATGAACTATGGGTATGCACATCAACAAATATCACAAGTATTACTGATATATACTTATTATATATACTGTACACACATACACACACACGTAAAGATACCACTTATATAACAGTCCAAAATATGTATAATTAACAATACGTTGTTAAGAGACATACACATATGTAACATACTATAAAGAAAAGCAAAGGAATGCCAGAGCCCACAGTGATGCCGATGGTTTCCTCAAGCCAGTGGTAGGATGGAGGTAGACAGAGGTGATCCAGGAGGGTACTGGGAATGTTCTTTCACTTAAACTGAGGAGAGGATGGGATGGACATCATTATGTCAGTCTTTATGTAACATATTACACATAGTCTTTGTATGAATATATTTTACAGTATTTTAATATGAAAAACCAAAACTTTTCCAATGAAATGCAGAAAGGAAATTATAAAAGTAACATTAATATATGTAACCACATATATAAAGGGGTTAAATGCATTTACAATCTTTAAGCCATGCTTAAGAGGCCAAAAGAGTTGTAGTGGTTCATTTGTTCCTTAAAAGTAAAAGACAAACACAAGTGATAGCCATTCCAACACAAATTGCAAGATAGCTTTTATGTGAAGACTGATGATTATACATTATCTACGTGGAGAAGGAGCTGGCTAACCAAGAGTTGTATCATTTGTGCTGTCTTATCTCAGCTGTCTGACCACTAAAGCTTCTGATCTCACCTTCACAGCTGTATAATCCCAGCTCATTTTTTCACAGAAATTCCTAGATCCTGTTTTTCTAAGTTGCTATTTAGTGAACTGTCCTACCCCCTAAAAAAGAAAGAAAAAAAAAGAAGAAAATGTCCTTCATTGATGTATTATTTGTAATAGCAATATATATACATACATATACATACATATACACACACACACACGTCCAAATAACAAGGGATTGACTACATTGTTAATTCACATTTAATAGATTCTCATGTACTCATTTAAAATGTCTTAAAGAAATTCAATGACAATGAATGAATAAACAACGAGCAACGTATTTAACGCAACTTTCTCATCAAGTCAGAAAGAAAAAAGCATCAGAAATGATGCCTCAACCAAGCTACATTTGTTTCCTCAAAGGCTATAACTCAATACTTAAATGATTAATGTTCTGTTTTTAAATTTAAAACAGGCAGATAATAACATAGATAACAGGAAGGATTTACTATGTATAATATATAATATGTATTACAATAAATATATAATGTATAATGCATAATAAATCTTACTATTCATTCATTCAGTATTTACCGAGTAGCTATTATGAGCCAGGCAGTGTACTAGGCACCGCAGACACTGCCAAGAACAAAGCCAAGTCTCTCGCATCATGGAATGTACAGCACAGTAATTTCAGTACCCTCCTTCCTTCATTGAGATTCACGGTTCATTAGTTCAAATATATGTCAGGGCAGACTCCCAGGTGCTGGTTGAGTATGCCAAATCTAAACTTTCTGAAATCAGACACGTTTTGAGCACTGACGTGACACTCAAAGGAAACGCTCATTAGGGCACTTTGGATTTCATTTTTGGGATGCTCAACTGGTATAATGCAAATATTCCAAAATCTGAAAAAATCTAAAACCTGAAACACTTCTGGTCCCAAGCATTTCAGGTAAGAGATACTCAACCTGTCATATCTTCTCATTAGAAATTATTTCAGTTAATATTAAAGTCATTATTCACTAACAGAGAAAGTCTCAACACTGTACTTTCACAGTTCTTATGCTTTCCCTAAAGAATGCTCTTGCTGCAACCCCGTGAAACATAACGTCACATTTCTACAGCTTTAAGTATTTTCTCAGCGCAAAAGTAAAGCAAATCTTCTGTCATTGCTAGAGAGAAAGGAGGTTTGTTTACGCTATTCACTAAATCAACAAAGTACTTCCTGCTAATAAGATCAAAGAATGAGATGGGCCTAAGAGCAAAATGAGCAATCATCTGGTTTCATCGGTTTCTTTACACTTGTATGTTAATGAGGCATGAGATAAGAATGAGGTCAAATTTCCCCTTCCACAGGTAGGTTTCCAGACAGACTTATCAAATCCGAGTAGGTTTATACTGGTCAACATGACAACTTCAGGTATTTAGGAAAACAAATGTCCATTCCAAGTCTTCCCTACTTCTATCAGTTACAGAGTCAGGGCCTTTTAAAAATGACCTATAATTAGTTTACATGGTATATGTGCCTAATCTACTTGATACATCATATCAGAACTGCACATAATGCCTGTGCTCCATAGATAAAAGTTAAAATGAAGGATACAATATATCTGGTGTTCAGGAGTCCGACATCATTTTAAAAGTCAGTTAAAAATTCCAGACTGCCAACTGTAACAATAAGCACTATAGCAGACACCATGAAAAATACAAAGAAAAGAGTAAATAATTCCAGGCCCTATCTTCAAAAATCTATATCTAATTGGATTCTAAATACAAGAATGTATTCATCTATTCATTTAATAGATATTAATTCAGCTCCACAACACGCAAAAACTGCTCAAGGGCCTTGGGATAAAACAATCAAGACAAGCTTGGTTCCAGCCATCTGCAGCTAACAGAACATATTCAGAATAAAAGTGCTAAGGGCAACCAGAGTGACAGTCAAGGCTATATAAAGGCCCTGTACTGAGTGAAAATCGGAAAACTTATGGACCAAGAGGTGTAAATACACACAGGTGAAGAGAGGAAAATTCCTGTAGGATGTCAATAAAACTGGAATTCAGCAGTACAATGGTGGACTATAAGCCTTGCAGGGAAATCACTCAACATATAGGAAGTCCTCAATGCAAATGTGTTACAACTCTGCCATTAACCAGCTCTAGGAATTCAGACCAAGTCACTTCACTTCCCTGACCCTCAGTTTCTTTGTGTGTAAAATGAGAGTTAAAATTTTCAGCCTACCTACCACTGAGAGTTGCTGTGGAATTATGCATAAAAGAGTGTGCTGGTAAACTAAATATCTTATTTGGTTCACACGTTAGTACTGATCCATTTTTGGTCTCATAAAAGAAGAAAACTGAAACATAATTTTTAAGTTCTCTTTCTAGCACTGTATGATTTATTATCTTAAAACTAATTTTAATTCAATGGGTAACTCAGGTTCTAATTTCCTTAGCGGTATAAGGAAGATCAACCTAAATCATTACATTAAACCAGCTAAAACAAGCTGGTCTAAAATGTTGGTTATATGTATTTTTTAATGGGGCAGATCCAACTATCACTTAAAAGAAAGTCAAAGAGACTACTGACAGTGAAGTAGTCAGAGGTAACCCTCAGTTTCAGGGGAGAATTTGGATGGCATTCTTTTGGTAAGCCTCAATGAGGGCAAATCATCAACCTTGGAGGAAAATAATTTTTTGTGATAGAATAAATGTTTCCCAAGCAAGTCTGGTGAATGAGCTCAGAATTCAAACTGATAATAAAACACTGGATCAAAATGTGATATAAACTGATAAGGGATACAACTCAGTATCTCCAAAGAACAATTTCTAAAAAAATTCCAGAAATTTATCTTCAGCAATTACAGCAACAGAATCTCAGCACTACTTTGAAAATGTATTCTAAAATTCTGCTTTAAAAATTAGTGTACTGCTTCACAATCAGACCCTTCTACCTAAGAGATAAATAATAACTAATAAAATAATTATAATAATATGCTGTAATAAAAGGTAGTCTTCTCCATCTCTCAAAGTATCTTCTCATACTATATTGCAGGAACTGAAACCAAGGAAAGTGAAACTGCAGATAAGGAGGACTACTGTATGTTATGTGAGTGATTACACAGTCAACTACATTTATAAAAATTATTCAGAGTATACAGTTAAGATTAGTGTACATTATATGTGTATTCCTTATTTAAAAAAAGGAGGAAGGATATCAAACAGCTAACAAGACAGTGTGAAATTACCAGCCACCATCCGAAGAGAAGACAGAAATCTGAAATAGAAAGCAAGGAACCTTGAGGCTTCTTTAGGTAAACGTTTGCCTAATCAAAGAGGTGCCTAAGAGTCTAAACCACACTTTGGCAGTCTTCAAGGCTAGGAGGACAAAATGTCAGAGTACAGGATCCACCAAGGGAGCCATCTCTGCTTCAGAATAAGCAAAAAACTGAATCCCATGAGAAAGAAAAACTTAGAAGCAAACTAAACCAATTATTGCATAGACTCTCAACTTTTTATTAGAATAAAAGTGATCCCAAGTGTCTGGCAAAAGCAATGAAAAAAATCCTTACCTAACCTATAATGACTGCTAGAAACACTTTTTCAAACACAATGACCAGCACACAATCAAAGATAAGCAGGTATACAAGGAGATGAAACTCCTTGAGAAATAAAAGAGACCATAAAAATGTTATAGCACTCTGGGACATAGTTACTATGCTTACTGCATCCACAGAAATATATGCAAAATCTAAAACTTTTGATAGGGAACTAGAAACTAGAAAAGTGGCAAAGCATATCTGAAAAATAACTAAACTGAAAGTCTAAATAAAAATGAAAAATCTAATAACCAAAATTTAAAACCCAGGGAATACAGATTAAAACCCAGGGAAGAGTAGATTAGAAATGAAGACTAACTTAGTCCTGGAAGGTAGCCTGAAGAAAATATTCAAAACAAAAAAGATACAAAAAGATGAAAACAACACCACAAGAGGCAAAATACACAGAGGATTCAGGGAGAAAATCTAACATTGTATAACTGAGCTCCCAGAAAGATTAAGCAAGAGAATAGGGAAAAGCAGTATCTGAAGAGAGAGTGGCTGAGAACTTGCCAAAATTGACGAAAGACATCAAGTCACGGTATCAAAATGCCCCATATATCTCAAACAAGAAATGGTGCAAGAGGGAGAGGAGGAGGAAAATAGAAACAGAAAGAGACAGAAAATCATCTCAAAGCCAAAGACAAAATGAAAACCATAAAAACAGCCTGAGAAAGAAACAAATTAGCAACAAAGAAGGAATAAACTGCAGCTGACTTCTGAATAGAAACAATCCAAAATATTAAAGAATCTCTCCAGAAGACTTATCTAGAATTCTACATCCAGCAAAATATATCTTTCCAGAATGTAGATGAAATAAAGATACTCTTAAACAAACAAGTTAGAAAACTTGTCAATATTACATCCACTCTGAAGAAATACTAAATGGTATCTTTAGGCAGAAAGATAATTATTCCACATGGAAGGTCAGGTAATGTAAGAAAGAATGAGGAAAATGAAATGCAGTTAAGTCTAATTAAATAATAACAGCATAAAACAACAGAAATACATCTGTGGGGTTTAAAACATGCATGCATCTTAAAACAAGGCAATAATGAAATAAGAAAGGAAATTGAATGTAAATGTTTTTAAAGGTCTTGCATTATTTACTGCATTATCTAGAAAAAGGGTGAAAGTCTCAATATTATACTTTGATAAATCAAGAATATATATTAAAATGTAAGTGAACACTAAAGGAATAGTACAAGAATATGTAATCCCAAGCTAAAAAATGAAAAAACAAAAATTATTTTTAAGAAATCAATTCAAAATAAAGCTAAAAAATTAAAAATGAACATAGAAGAGGTGAAGACAGATTTTGAAATTTTTTCTTTTTTTTTTTTTTGACACGGAGTTTTACTCTGTCGCCAGGCTGGAGTGCAGTGGTGTGATCTCGGCTCAGTGCAACCTCCATCTCTCGGGTTCAAGTGATTGTTGTGCCTCAGCCTCCGAGTAGCTGGGACCACAAGCGTACGCCACCATGCCCCACTAATTTTTGTATTTCTGGTAGAGATGGAGTTTCACCATGTTGGCCAGGCTGGCCTCAAACTCCTGGCCTCATGTGATCCACCCACCTGGCCCTCCAAAGTGCTGGGCTTATAGGAGTGAGCTATCACACCTGGCCAAAATTAATTTTTAAGCACTACTGCAATCAAGAGTTATTATAGGCCAATTCATTATTTTTTAATATGGGCACCAGGGAAATACACAAAAAACACCTAGCTCATACATATATACCTAACTTTTATAAATTTTAGCCTGCACATCTATTCAATTTTTTTCCATTGTGACTGACTTCAAAATCTTATTTCACCTTATCTTACCACAGATATGCCAATGGACATTAAATGTCCAAAAACCAAACAAAAAGAAACAAGAACAAAAAACCTAGAGCCAACTGACTTATAAATACTGCATTAATTCTATAATAAAATATTAGCCAGGCAAAGTGGCTCACAACTGCAATCCCAGCACTTTGGGAGGCTGAGGCAGGAGGATCACTTGAGCCTAGGAATTCAAGACCAGCCTGGGCAACATGGAGAAACCTCATCTCTACCAAAAAAATACGGAAATTAGCTGGGCATGGTGGCACATGCCTGTAGTCCCAGTTACCTGGGAGGGTGAGGTGGGAGAATCGCTTGAGCCTGGAAGGCAAAGGCTGCAGTGAGCTGAGACTGCTCTACTGCAGTCCAACCTGGGTGACAGGGTGAGACCCTGTCACAGGAAAAGGAAAAAATAATAATAATAATAATTTGCCATCACTGATCTACATAACATTACTAACAGCAAAACTAATACATTAAGAAGATTAAAAATAATATTCTTTCATTTAGTTCATTTAAAATGTTACTTTAAATTTTTAATTTCACTGGCTGACTCAATGAAAGGAAAATTCCAGGATAAAATTTTAAGTTTTTCTACAGTCATATCAATGTCAGCAAGACACAGGTGCAATGTGTACCTCTATCCCTGAGTAACTAAATAATCTCTTTAGAGCTAAGAACACTTAAAAACAAGATATGAAACTCCAGAGTAACTCCTGATCTTTCTGTAGGCAAACGAAAACTACTTGCCACTTACTGAAGATTTGTATTTTAGGGTGGATTGCTACTACAGTTTTTTGAGAGGTGGTCCAAGCTCTTCAAAGAGAAAATGGAACCAAAATGAAACCAAGACTATCCTGATATTACAAAGCATCTCTGTAAGTAAATCAAAGAATATTTTATTTAACATTTAATCCCAGTCTTACAGCTATCAAAACTAACAAGTAATCCAATGCAGAGTTATAAAAGTGGACATCAAAGCATGTCAAGAGTCACTCCCAGGTCTGGTATGGATACAGACGAGTAGAATGACTTCCCTTCTCTAATGGCTATGGAACAAAGCTGAGCTGCTTCATTCAGATGATCCAAGAACAGTGCCAAGGGCCTTCTCCACATAACCAACAGTGACTGCTCATGGGCTATGGACGGAACTCATACAGAAGCAGCTTATTTAACCTTCCCAATCTCTTCAGTGACTGTGAACAAGCTCTTCTCTCACCCTCAAAGTTTCCCACACACCCGCCTCTTTTTTTCAGCCAGCTATCTCTGCCTCATCTTCAGGTCTTACAAGTCGCTTCCACAGGGGACTTGCCCTGACTCCCTCAAAACCAAGTTAGGTTCCCTAGGTATGGGTTTTATAGCTCCCTGTACTTCACATCAAAGGACTCATCCCACGTGTTGAAAACAAAGTACCTAACACAAAGTCCTGGGGTACACAGAAGGCACTCAAAAAATAATGGTTGAATAAACACGTTTGAATTTACGATCCTCCCCAATTTTACAAAGAAATGAGCTTTTAAAAATTGAGTCATTTGCATGAGGTGATACGACCTGAAACTGGCATAGACCAGTTGAGAATCCAAGTCTCTGTCGCTCCAATTCCCATGCTTAAATCTCATGTACTACATGGACGTGTGCTACAAGTTGGATTTCTTTTCAATTATTATTCTTACAGTGACTTCCACTGTAAATACAGGAGTCATCTGTTCAAGGGAAAAATGAGTCTCTCAATATAATGAAATCATATCTGACAATGGACTATGCTTTTCTTTTCTTTTCTTTTCTTTTTTTATTTGAGACAGAGTCTCACTCTGTGGCCCAGGTTGGAGTGCAGTGGAGCGATCTCCGCTCACTGCAACCTCTACCTCCCAGACTCAAAGGATTCTCCTGTCTCAGCCTCCCGGGTAGCTGGGATTACAGCAGTGCACCACTACCGCCCAGCTAATCTTTGTATTTTTAGTAGGAACGGGGGTTTCAGCATGTTAGCCAGGCTGGTCTTGAACCCCTGACCTCAAATGATTCATCTGCCTCGGCCTCCCAAAGTGCTGAGATTACAGGCATGAGCCACTGCAACCCGCCAGTCTATGCTTTTCAAAAATCACATTGAAGGAACAAACTATAACTTTCTGGTAATTAGAGGTCTGCATTGCACTAGTTACAAAGTAAGAATGGTTAAAAAAAATCGTTACAGTGAAATTGTGAACATAAACCAGAATTGTAATCACTTGTCTCGTTCTCGCTACCTCAAGTGGCAATTCCCAAAGCTATCCTATTCTACTACATTAACATTCCTCACACTTTCTAATCAGAGTAATTTTGTTTGTTTTCAGTTTGCTACTAGCTTGAACTCATTGGCCTCTTTTTCACCCATCTTAGCTGGCTACAAAATGTAACAAGGACTTGACACACATGGGCACATGGTGGCAAAGATGGACCAAGGCAACCCTTGCTTGGCATTGGAGACTCAGGTTGGATCTGCTGGGGTGAGTAGTTCTCTTGGTTCCCTATAACGCCAGAGGATGATCAATCACCTAACAGTGCCAAATCTGACACTTTCACTTACTGGCTTGTTTAACCAAAGTCAGTCCCCAGTAGGAGCTATTTGCATGTCAAAACATTATTAAAACTGGTAATGGACTAGTCTTACCAGAAACAAGTACAACAAAGAGTCTGGCTGCATAGCTAAAAACTAAGTAGGCACCAAAACTGAGGCTCAGGGCCCAAATTCTTAATATTTGGCAAAGGATGTTTCTTTGAGTGCCTTTGTAACAACTCATTAATTCTCTATATATATATAATCAGCAAAGGAATTTCTGTTAACTAAGGATACCTGTACTTGCAATTAGGATTTCTTCCTTTAAAAGTTAACTTATACTTTTATTAGTATAATTTTTTTTCTATTTGGACATTTTAATTGTCTACGTAGAATACAACATGGCATCAACATCCATTTTAAGTAATGAACTACACTATGTTTACAAATGTTGTTATAAAAGAATGGCAAACCAGGAAATATTTTTGTTAATTTTAGGGTCTGACTGAACCAGAAATAAAAGCAAATAAACCACTGTTCACTTGCTGCTGGCTAATTTATTCTTATTCAGATGACTTCAGGAAAGAAAAAAGAACACTGACTTCCCCCTGAAGGAACTTGCCAGAGACTCAATATAGGAGGGAGTTGGCCAGGGTGATCTCTAAAGTTCTGTGTAACTTTTCTAAGCTATGAAATATTAAATATCTATCCCAAAGGTGTAATTATTTTTATAAAAGGATTAATACAGGATTGAAACCATTTTCTTTCAACAAGCAACATACTTAAGACGGCGTCCTCACTTTTTTTTTTTTTTTCCATTCGTCTCGCACTATTTCCAATCACTGGGTACGGCCCTAATTCAACAAGCCTTCCCAGTCCAAAGAAGGCATGCTGAAGTCTACGGTCTAAAAAGCATCTATCTGCGGATTAAATGTTGGGAAAGAAAGGGATAAGGGTTGGGGGTGGGGAGAGACAACATTTTCAAATTACAGAAACGTGCACCCATGGATTCCTACGCGTCCCGCATTTTCTAGCAGTAAAACACCTGCGAGGAACCGTTTTCACGCATTACAAATGCCGCACCAGCCTAGGGTTGTGAGCGCCAAACTATTTTGCAAACTTTGCAAAGGCGCACGGATTTCCAAGACTTGCAGATCTCTCATTCGCCCCATCCTCCCCTCGCCTGGTCCAAACAAAGTTCCGCGGCATCAAGGCAGTCATTTAAAGGCACGAAGTTTGCCCGGGTCCTGCCCACTGGGGCTCGGGAGACGCGACCGAAACTTGCGAGGGAGACGCGCCTGGCCGGGATCGCGGCTCACTCGGGGAGGCAGTCGCCGGGTTCCACCCCCGGGCCTCCCCGCACCCCGCGCGGCGCCCCCAGCCCGCCCATCGCCCCGCGGACCCCACGCTCCGGGCGCGGGGACACACAGGCAGCCCCCGCACTGTGCCCGAGCCGCCCCCCAGGGCCGAGCCGCGAACCGCAGCCGCGTCCCCTCCTCCAGGGGCCGGGAATGGCGGCGTCCGGCTCCCCGGGGCCAACTCCGAGTCCCGGCCCGGGGAGGACGCCCGCGGAGCCCGCCGCCGCCGGCCCCTCACGGCGGGAGCTGAGGAATGGAAGTTACCTCAGTACGGTCCCGACTGCTAGGCTGTGGGCAGCGGACAGAGCTGGCGGTCCCGGGCGGCCGAGCAGATCCGGCGCGGCGCGGCGCGGCGGCGGCGGCGGCTACCGCAGTGCCCTCCGCCCCATTGTTTCCCTTCCAAGAGGATCCCGGCGAAGCCGAGCCCGGGAACCAGGAAGTTCCCCGGCGCGACACCTCCTGCCGCCGCTATGGAAACGGCCCCCGCCTCCCAGGGCGGCTCGCCCGGGACCCCGCCTCCGCGCCTCCGGCCCCGCCCGCCTCACCGGCCGCCGCCAACCGTCACCGCAGCGGCCGCAGCCGCCGCCATATTGGCGCGGCCCCTTCCCGGCGGCACGTGCGCTCCGCTCCCGCACTCCCGCCGTGCGCGCTCCCGCCCGCCTCGGGGACGCGCGCCCAGGGCTGCAGGTGCCCGGAGCCCCTCGGCGGGAAGCGGGCGCTGGAAGCCCAGGACCCAAAGCGGGGCTTCGGGGCACGCAAACGAGCGACATTGGCGTGTCCAGCCGGCAGGTCAGAGGATAGCAGAGACGTAGGGAGGTCAGCTGAGTAGGGGGCGAGAGGATGGTCTCCGGAGCCAGCCTGGCTTTTTTTTTTTTTTCATTTCTGCCTCAACTACTTACCAGGTGTCAGCCCTTGGACACTTTTCCCTGTGCCTCAGTTTCTTCATCTGTAAAGTGGAATGATAATAGGACCTGCCTCATGGGGCTGTCCTGGAACAAGCGAGTGCTTGGTAGTAAGTGCAAAGCTCAATAAAATGCCATTGCTACTGACATAGGTGACACTGCTGTCATTTTTCAGGAACTTAGGCTAAGCGTTCACATCAGCACTACTTTAAGTAGGCTACTGTGTAGATCCCATTGCTGCTTCAAGCTTCTCAAATGTTCATCACTGTCCCATCTTTCTGTAGGTCAACTTTCCTTTTTTACATCGTGGAAATTGTCAAGAGTTTTAATCTCCAAAGCCTCCCATTAAGGGGTGCCATAAAAAGATGAATGATGTAAACTTCCCAAAGCCGTAATTAGCTGACAGTTAAATGATTGATTCAATCGAAGCTAGAAAAGTTAGGGTGTACAAGTAACCAAAAGGCTTCCTGTCCTTGATTCCAGGAACTAGAATTACTGAACCTGGCAACCCTGCACTGTGCCTTTTATCTCTCTTTTCCAGCTGGTGAAAACTGACACGAAGAAACTGAATGCTGCGCCCAATATCTCACAGAAGGGGTGGAAGGAGGAGGCAGGGTCACAGGCTCTTTGCTAGCACCCAAACTTTGAGAACTGTGACTCAGATTAGGTTTGGTCTCTAAGGCTCCTTCTAGCTCTCAAGTGTGGTAATCTTAACGACAGGGATACCCAGCAATACAGTCTGAGAAATTCATCCTTAGGCAATTTCGTGATTGTGCGAACATCATAGAGTATATTTACACAAACCTAGATAGTAGAGCCTCCTACACACCTAGGCTATAAGGTGTGACTTATTGCTCCTAGGCTACAAACCTGTTCTGCATGTGACTATACTGAACACTGTAGGCAAGTGCAATACAATGGGAAGAATTTGTGTATTTCAACATAGACAAGGTAACACATTGGGCTATAATGTTACCATGGCTATGACATCGCTAGTCCATAGGAATTTTTCAGCTCCATTATAACCTTATGGGACCACCATCGTATGTGCAGTCCATCGTTGACCAAAACGATGTTATGTGGCACATGACTGTGTATACGCTGTTTAAGAAAATACAAATCTATACTTCCTTTTGGGGCTTCTTTCATTCATTTAAACCAGGTTTCTGAAGACTAGTATTTATTTTTAGGATCCTGATACCAAAATGGCATAACTCATTTAATACATGAATTGAGGGGCTAAAAGCAGACCAGAGTTATTTTCAACAACCAAATACTTCTCCGAAAGTTACAGGATTCCCAGGTTAGCAATCACCCAGACTGGGCTATTCTCAATTCCTGACAGGAAAGAGCCCTCACTCGTATCTCTTTGTAGCCCCTGCTGGACCCAGCAGATTGCTTTGCACATAAAAAGTCCTCAGTAAATGCTTACTGAATTAAATTGCTATGATTGTGGTCTCCCATCACTAAAGGAGACCTTGGAACCACAGAGATGCTCAAGAGACATCAGTCTTGGGAGGCCAAGGTGGGCGGATCACTTGAGGTCAGGAGTTGAAGACCAGTCTGGCCAACATGATGAAACGCCGTCTCTACCAAGAAATAAAAAAATTAGCTGGGCTTGGTGATGTGTCCCTGTAGTCCCAGCTACTCAGGAGGCTGAGATGGGAGAATCACTTGAACCCGGGAGGCGGAGGCTGCAGTGAGCTGAGATCGCACCCCTGGACTCCAGCCTGGGTGACAGACAGAGACCCTGTCTCAAAAAAAAAAAAAAAAAAAGACAGTCAAGGGACATGATTGCAAACATCATGGATGAGAACCCAAAGTCACTAGTTAATGAATTAATGGGATTTTGGATGGACAACCCTGGCCCCAGGCTTACTTGGCAAAATAAACTGGAAATTTCAGATACGTTTTTTCCATAAATTATATGGCTAATTTTGAAAACACTGTTTTGGACTTGATTATGAGCACCCCTGTCTCAATTTTATACTTTCATAATAGCACTCTGACTCTATGGTATTATTACAGTTCAGAAATCCCCCAATTTTTTTCCCCAAGTCAAAGTGTCAACAGTGTCACCTCACCTGTACTTTGTCAATCCCTGCTCTAAACAATTATAGCTAGATTATATTCACTCCATGATTATATTCACTCTAACATGACATGCCAAATATTAAAATACCCTTCAACTGAAGGGAGGGTGAAAGCTGTACAGCAGGAACGTAACAAAAAGTAAAAAGAAGTATGGTCTAACGATTTGTGTTACCATTTAAAATATTCCACAATACCAAAGGTTAGGACCACCTCTCGTCCATCATCATGGAATAAGAGAGATGGATATTTGCATTTCGTTTTTGCAAAAGTTATGTATTATGCTAATGACAATATTTAAAATCTTGCCAATGGTAAAAGTACAGGTTTAAATCCCCCACAGGATCCCATAATAACTAAGGCCAGAAGTACAATTTGTGATGAGGACATAAGAACATAGAACATGGAGGAAAGAAATTCTCCAAATTATCTATCCTTCACTGTCATCTTCAAAATATGGATGAAAGGGTCAGGTCTTCGAGTCTCCTGTAAAGTGAGACTTTGAAATGTGAATCCATGGCCATTTGATTCATTTAATTTTTTTTAAGAGAGATAGTTCCCTAAGGGAGGGATTTTTTTTTTTTAAATAAGGCTGTGGAAAGCATTGCAATGCCCATATTCATGCTCACCAGCCAGGGTAATTTCTGAAATCTCATGAGAAGCCAATGCTTTTCTATTGACTAGAAAAGTCAGCTCCAATGACACTACATATAACTATTCTTTACGGACGAAAAAAAGATCAGTCAACATCTGTGTGTAAGTGAAAAGGCAATGGGTAACCAATAGCCACATCCACACTGCTCATACACAAAGCTTTTTGGTTTCGTTTTGTTTTGTTTTTTTTAGATAGAGTCTCGCTCTGTCACTCAGGCTGGAGTGCAGTGGCACAATGTGGGCTCATTGCAACCTCCACCTCCTGGGTTCAAGCAATTCTCCTGCTTCAGCCTCCCAAGTAGCTGAGACTAAAGGCGTATGCCATCATGCCTGGCTAATTTTTTGTATTTTTAGTACAGACAGGGTTTTACCATGTTGGCCACGCTGGTCTCGAACTCCTGACCTCAAGTGATTCATCCACCTCGGCCTCCCAAAGTGCTGGGATTATAGGCATGAACCACCACGCCTGGCCCAAAGCCTTTAGTTTAAAAGAGAAGTTACTGATCGCAGTGTGAGAAAGAGGACCCCATGAAGAACTGTGAACCCAACATCGTAAGTAACACAGTTTGTTACCTATAACTCTGAGGTTGTATTATTTATTGGTGTGCTGAGTTTCTTTCTGATTCCCTATCTTTAGAATGTACATTCCATGAGACTGGGAAACTTATCTGTCTTCTGCCCTTCTCCATTCCTTGGTTCAGATCAGTATCTAATACATAATTAGCTCCCTGCAAATATTTGTAGAAAGAATGAAAGGAAGGAAGGTGAGAGGGAGGGAGAGAAGGAAGGAAGGAGGGAGGAAAGAATGACTGAAAGAAAGAAAGAACAAAAATATGCAAACATGCTTGTTTTCTAGGCAGAAAGTTCCTAACTTTTTTTCATATGCTCAAAGGGGTCTGTGACTCAAAAAAAAAAAAAAAAAACAGTAAGAATGACTGCTTTTCAACTACAAAAGCTGCCTCTCATGATCTCCTCTGCTCTTTTGCTCACAAGACACCCTGTTCCTGATTACATACCAAAATTGTCATCATGGTTTGCCAGAAATCTATAATGATGTCGTATCGTTTGAAAAGTGTCTCAATATGTTTTTACAGCTTTAGAGAATTTCTCCTGCCTGCTCAACTTACAGTTGCCATTCTACAACCATCCATTTGGCCATCTCTTAGACGCCATGCCATTTATTTATTTTTTGTTAAGTCTCATCAAGCAGAGTTGTAATAAAAAATATTATAAGATACTAAAAAAATGAAGTAGAATTTCACGGCATTTTTGTCTCTGTTTTAGAGGCATAAAACTCTTGCCTCTGTATATGTGACCTTTGAATTAACCTTTAAACCCTTGTTCTCATAAGTCTTTATAAATTGTGTGGCAACAGTTTTCACAGATGGCCTCCCAGTGAACTGTGCCATCCAATATTCACCCTCCTCTTGAGTCTGGGCCGGCTCTGTGACTCACTTTTCACAAGATTGTGGGGGAAGCGATGCTGAGTGATTTCTAAGGCTAGATCCTAAGTTTTGCAGCTTCCACCTGGGCCTCTGAAATACTTAGCGCACTCCCTCCGGACACTCAGGTGCCATACTGATAGGAGCCCAAGTCACATGGAGAGGCCACATGTAGCTGGTCTGGATGACAACCTCAGCTGAGTCCTCAGACATCAGCCAGCATTCACTGCTGTTGGGCATCCTGAATGTCCAGCACAGTTAAATCTTCAGATGCCTCAGGCCCCAGCAGTGTGACCCCATGAGAAATCCCAAGTGAGGATGTCTCAGGTGAGCCCAGTCAACCCCGTAGAACCATGAATGTCATAATAAATTGTGTGTTAAGCTTTTGAGCTTAGGGTGGTTTGTTATACACCTGCAGACAACTGGAATGCATTGATTAAAAATACAGCGCTAAGGCCTTTAGCATGGTTTAGCTAAAACTTTAATAAATAGTTTCATCAAAATTAACAGAAGGGATGTATGAAAATGTCAAGTTATAGAAGAATGGAGTGAACTGTAGCAGATCCCAGGGTATTCAAGGACATTTTTTTTTTCACTAAATTGCTACTTTTGTCTAAGTCTTTTCTTTGAGGTAGGGTCGTTACTTTGTGAAACAACATAAGGACTTCCATCTCTCGGAGTCTGTAAAGTAAATATAGTTGCAATTGCACTTGACTTCGATATGAAATAAGTCCTTGGCCACATACTTTGGCTAAAAAAGGGAAAGAAGTGGTGGTCACAAGTAGCCAGGCTAAAGAATCAATGAAAATGGGACAATAGATGAGAAAATATATATATATATATATATACACATATATATATATGTATATATATATATGCATATGTATATGCTCAGCTTCTATTTTCTGTTTGTTTATACTTCATGAAAATTACAGGTCCACAATTCCTCATCCACAAAGCTCTGAAAACCAAAAGTGTTTTTCATAAGTTGGGCACCTAAATTCTTTTGGTAGCAATAGAACTTTCCTTTGGCTATTAAGGGTCTTTATCTTATTTAATATTAACACTCATTTTGTTACAGAAGTCTTTGTTTCATGACAAGGTGCTGGTACAGATCCCACTTATGACACCTTTAAACAGTACACCATACATGTGTTGTGTCACCCTTCTAAAAATCAAACCTTCTGATATCTGAGACACTTCTGGTTTCAGACCTAAAGAAGACTCTATCATAGACCTGAAGTGAACTTTATTGTACAGGGAGGACAGTAGAGTGTAGAGTAATCAAGCAGTCTTTGGAGTTAGACCACCTGAGTTCAAATCCTGGATCTGCTGCTTGCCAGCTCTGACACTTGGATTGATTGCAAAACCCTCTGCTTCAGTTTATTCTTCTACAAAATACAGAGAGTAAAAGAAATGACCTCAGAAGGGTTCTTATGAGAACCAAATGAGATTATGCATGTAAAATGCTTAGCCCAATAACTAGTAGTTGGTAAACACTCACCAAACATTAACTATTATTGTATTATTATTAAAATGTCAGTTGTTTGTTTTGGTTTTTGTTTTTGCTTTTAGAGACATGGTCTCACTCTGTGGCCCCAACTGGAGTACACTGAAGCTCACTGTCACCTCAAACTCCTGGGCTCAAACAATCCTCCCACCTCAGCCTCTCAAGTAGCTGGGAGTAGAGGTGTGTGCCACCATGCCTGGCTATTTTTTTATTTTTTATTTTATTTTATTTTATTTTATTTTTATTTATTTATTTATTTTTTAGAGATTGGGTATTGCTTTATTGCTCAGGCTAGTCTCAAATTCCTGGCCTCAAGCAATCCTCCCACTTTGGCCTCCCAAAGTACTAGGATTACAAGAATGAGCCACTGGACCCAGAAAAAATGTCAGTATTTTATAAATTCAATGAAACAAATAATATTTAAATGAGAGTTCAGCCAGGAAAAAAGAAACTACTCAAGGTATCACCAACAGGAAGATATTCAATATAGGGAATCAGATGCATACAAAGTCTTTGGAAGGAGTGAATGGGCAAAAGTTGAGAAGGTAGCACTACTAATTTCAGGTTATTCCATATCACCTGTGGACCCAGTGTCAGGAAGCTGCTGTACTCAGAGATCAGAAATTGCAATAAATGACAGGTAATCAATCACTGTCCATGTCACAGCTGCTCTCCTTGCAGCTCAGAAGCTGGGGATAGCCAGGGATGGTCTTTGGGGTCTAACTTCACTGCCAACGTTTATATTTGTTGGCCAGGCTCGGTGGTTCGTGCCTGTAATCCCAACACTTTGGGAGGCTAAGGTGGGTGGATTGCCTGAGCTCAGAAGTTCGCGACCAGCCTGGGCAACATGATGAAACCCTGTCTCTACTAAAATACAAAAAATTAGCCAGGCGTGGCAGCATGTGCCTATAGTCCCAGCTACTCAGGAGGCTGAGGCAGGAGAATTGCTTGAACGCGGTAGGCAGAGGTTGCAGTGAGCCAAGATTGCGCCACTGCACTCCAGCCTGTGCAACAAAGCAAGACTCTGTCTCAAAAAAAAAAAAAAAAGTTTATATTTGTCAAACCCCTTGTGTCAGCTGCCACTGTCACAGAAAGAATGACATGCTCCTTGCGTCTTTCAAATCCTTGAGTGCACCTCATTGGCACAACCTAAACCTTATCAGAACTGTGCTGGCAGGAGACTCTGGGAAATGCAGCTCCAGGCCTCCCAGCCTCTGTGATACACATAACACCCTAAACAAATAGTCATTTCATAATAATAGTAATTTACACTTGTATAGCACTTTCCATAAAATCTCTGCAGGCAGGCAGAAACTGTAGCTCAAAGTTGCAAGGCTGGCAAGAGACTTAGAACCTTATATCTCAAATCTAGGGTGTACTTTTTTTTATGTCAGTGTGTCCTATTTAATCATCCGGGTTCCACTTTCCCCCCCAAATCTTCATAACCATTGATATTATTGTTTATTGTTTTTCTTTCTTTCTAAGTTGACTCACATTTCTATGTAAATAAAGAGGAAATTTTGCATCATAAAGTATAATGCAACTCACAAAACTGTTTTGCTACATAAATGGAAGATAAAAGTAAAAATGAACACACTGAAATCCAAACGGTGATATTAAAACCAGTTAGTAAAGGGCTCTGAGCCTGAAGCCTGCTCCTCTTTCTTCAAAGATGTGATTAGCATGTGTTAGAGATGTTACTTGTACTAACAGCGAACACCCTAACTGCAGATTAAGACTCACTGATATATTCACAAGAACTAAAGGGTGAAAAAAACCTCTGAAAAATTAAATTTCTCACTATGTGAGGCAAGGTTATTTAAAGCTTTGCCATCTTATCTACCATCAGTAGAACACATCTTACGCTTTGGATAACACTGCTTTCTGCCGTCTTCATTTTGGCAGTTTAGCTGAGAATCAGTATTTATTCATTTTGTTGTTGAAATTATCTGATAGCTGAGCATTAAAAGTATGTCAGTATGTCTTGCCCCTGATGACTCATTCACGTAAGATTTTGTTGCTGTTATTAAGGTGAAATTCACATAAAATAAAATCAACCGTTTTTCAAGTGAACCCTACGGTAGCATTTAGTACATCCATAATGTTGTACAACCACCACCTCTATCTAGTTCCAAAATATTTTCATCACCCCAAAAGAAAACCGCATAGCCATTAAGCATTTATTCTCCATTTTCCATCTTCCGGTTCCTGGCAACCCTCACTGTTTTCTGTCTCTTTGGATTCACCCCGAATATTTCATATAATTGGAATCATGCAATATCTGACCTTTTGTGTCAGTCTTCTTTCACTGAGCATAACATTTCCGAGGCTCACGCATATGACAACTTGTATACATACTTCATTTCTTTTCATGGCTGAATCATATTCCATTGTTTGTATACAACACAATTGTTTATTTTTCTGTTGATGGACAGTTGAGGGTCCACCCTTTGGTTACTGTGAATAGTGCTGCTATGAACGTAAGTGTACATGTATTTTTTTTTCGAGGACCTGTTTTCCAGTCATTTTGGGTATATGTTGAAGAGTGGAATTGCAGGATCATATGGTAATTCTATATATAACTTGTTGAGGAAGCGCCAAGCTGTTCCCACAGTGCTGTGCCATTTTACATTCCCACCAACAGTGCACAAGTGTTCCAATTTCTCCACCTCCCCACCACCACTTGTTATTTTCTGTTTTTGTGATTATAGCCATCCTTGTGAGTGTGAAGTGGTACCTTGTGGTTTTGATTTGCATCTCCCTAATGACTAGTAATGTTGGGTATCTTTTCATGTGCTTATTGGCCATTTGAATATCTTCTTTGGAGAAATGTCTATTCAAGTCCTTCGCCCATTTTTGAAGTGGGTTGTTTGTCTTCTTTGTTGAGTTGTAAAAATTCTTTACATATTCTGACCCTTATCAGATATATGATCTGCAAATATTTTCTCCCATTCTCTAGGTTGTCTTTTCACTTTATTGATCATGTCCTTTGGTGTACAAAAGTTTCCATTTTGATGAAGTCCAATTTATCTATTTTTTTCTCTTGTTGTGTGCTTTTAGCGTTATATCTAAAGATCTATTGTAAAATCCAAGTTCATTAATATTTACCCCTATGTTTTCTTCTAAAAAGTTTTATGATTTTAGCTCTCATGTGTATATAAGATTCTTAGACCATACTATAAAATTTCCACAGAAATAAGCTAGATTTATTGACCCAGGTTAACTCTATAATCACTGAAATCGACCTACCCTTGAAAGACTCATTTCCTTTAATAAATGAGCTTGTTTAGCCAGACTGTGGAAAAAATCACTGTACTAGATTCTACAGCAACATATAAATACATTTGTATATTTATTAGTATATTATTCCTATACACCAATGGGAAGTCTATAGTATGTTCTATGAAAAAATGTTGGCCGGGCGCGGTGGCTCACGCCTGTAATCCCATCACTTTGGGAGACCAAGGAGGGCAGATCACAAGGTCAGGAGTTCAAGACCAGCCTGGCCAATATAGTGAAACCCTGTCTCTACTAAAAATACAAGAATTACCCAGGTGTGGTGGTGGGCACCTGTAATCCCAGCTCCTCAGGAAGCTGATGCAGGAGAATTGCTTGAACCTGGGAGGCACAGGTTGCAGTGAGCCCAGATCGCGCCCCTGCACTCCAGCCTGGGCAATGGAGGGAGACTCTGTCTCAAAATAATAATAATAATAATAATAATAATAATAATAATAATAACAGTAATAATTGTTGTTGTCCTGTCTTAATATATTGTTTTGCTTTAAAAACTCCAAAAGAAAACCAGACAGCCACCAAAGTCCATGACAAGGAAGTTCATGAGAAATAGAAATAAAGTGATAAACATCTGTTCAGCTTCATAAATAATCAAATGAATCTCAGTGGAGGCCAGTGGAATATAATTATTCACCTGTCATATAGCAAAGATTTAATAAATTGGTTAGCCATGTGCCTGTATCATGCATATGAAAATCTGCCAAAAGGGTAGGTAGCATGTTAAGAGTTCTTACCACAGTAACATTTTAAAAAGAAAGTTAATAAAGTGCATTAATTATTTTTTGAAAGACCAATTAACACCCAAAATGTGGTGAAACAGGCACTACCATACATTACTAACAGGAGTGTAAATTGGTAGAATTTAAAGAGCATTTTGATAATATGAACTAGACTTTATAATGTAAGTACTTCGATTTGGTAATTTAGTTTCTAGGAGTATTTTCTAAGCACATAATACCAAAAAGCCCAAAGAGCTCTGATAGTTCTGTTTGCCACATCCTTGTTTACAATATAAAAAATTGGAAGCAACCTACCTGTCAATAAAGTATTCGTTAAATTAAAGTAGCCCATTTAATGGAATTAAAGGCCAGGTGCAGTGGCTCATGCCTGTAATCCCAGCACTTTGGGAGGCCAAGGCTAGAGGATCACTTGAGTCCAGTAGTTCGAGACCAGCCTGGGCAACCTGGTGAAACCTGGTCTCTGCAAAAATAAAAATAAAAAATTAGCCAGGCATGGTGGCACATACCCATAGTCCCAGCTACTCAGGAGGCTGAGGTGAGAGGATCACTCGAACCCAGGAGGTGGAGGCTGTAGTAAGCCACGGCTACACCACCACACTACAGCCTGGGCAACAGAGCAAGACCCTGTCTCAAAAAAAACAAAATAGGCCATTAAAAATTATGTTTGGCCAAGCACAGTGGCTCACGCCTGTATTCCCAGCACTTTGGGAGGCTGAGGCGGGCAGGTCATTCAAGGTCATGAGTTCAAGACCAGCCTGGCCAACATGGTGAAACCCTGTCTCTACTAAAAACATAAAAATTAGCCGGGTGTGGTGATGCATGCCTGAAGTCCCAGCTACTCAGGAGGCTGAGGCAGGAGAATCACTTGAACCTGGCAGGAGGTGAAGGTTGCAGTGAGCCAAGATTGTGCCACTACACTCCAGCCTGGGTGACAGAGTGAGACTCTGTCTCAAAAATAAATAAATAAGTGAAATTTTCTTTGACCTCCAGGACAACGTAATTAATTCATCATATCCCTTTCAGCAATACCTTCACTACTAACTTAACACCACACACACCACCCTTCCTCAAGGAAAGTATTCACTCTCTCAATGAAAGGCACCAATGAATAACTACCTGGACACCCTCTAGTGCCTCCTTCTCATCTCTGCCCACATCCAACAAGTCAGCACGTGTAAATCCTATCCCCAGATAGCTCTTGAATGTGTTTCCTCCCCATCAGCCCCACTACCACTGTTTTAATTTAATCTCTTATCGCTTCATGTTTGGATTGCTACAGATTTTTTCGTATCTCCAATCTGCTCCTCTGGGTCATACATAGCTGTGCTCCCACTACTAACAGCACGATTTTCCTAAAATTTAAATCTGACTGTGTCATTTACCTGCCCATTCATAACTTCAAAATACAGTCCATGGTAAGTATTCAACAAACGATCGACAGACAACAATGAATGATTGAATTTAGAGTGAGATTGCTGGTCCCTTCCCAATCCAGGGTAACTGTGGGTTAATCATCATTTTTTATAATCCCCTAACCCTGTTGGTCTTCAGGCAAAGACTCAATACATGTGTCTCTTGGCCGTTAGTGCTTTTCTTAGGTTTTGTTACACATGACTTTGTTCGTATTTTCACTATCTGGCAACAAGCAGCTTAAGGGGAGGACTGGTATATATTATAAGGTCACTGTGGAATTTGGTGGCATTTCTGGAGGATCCATAGTGCCTAAGACTGGGAAGGGGGCACTTTTAAAGTGGAAAAATAAAAGACAGCTGTGGTGATTACATATCATCCATTTAACTTTGCTATCTGGGAGATACTAAGATAAACTATGAAATAATTCCCTTCCAAGTAACCAGAGGAACAAAATCTAAAGTACTCAAGGGCAACTAGCAGAGCTTTGAAAGAAGCAAACTCTGCAGGAGCAAGTGAATTTCCTTCTATAACAACATATCAGGCAAAATGCTGACAAGAAGAAGGCAAAAGCTATACTCTATTCTCTTCAATAAAGATCCCAATATGATGTTATCATCGTTCACCTGGGAGGATGCAGTCCAGCTGAAGAATGGCCAATTTCAGACATACGTGTCATACCAGTATCAAGGCATTTCTCAGAGAATAGCAAATATACTTTTTTTGACAAATAAAATTTTAGGGTTCACCTTTTCTGAAGTTACAAAATCTAGAGCAAAGAAACAAGTCAATACAAGAACCCTCTTATCATATTCATGATGTCAGTGGACTAAAACATAACAAAATTTGCACTGGTGGACAGACTTAAGCCAGCATTTGACAGTACAGATAATGGCTAGTGGTGACCCTTTTACATTGTGTTCTTATTCAGGTAATGTGTAAACTGTGTCTTGTAGTAAACAGGGGGTACATGAAAAAAAACTATTATTAAGACATAACTATGTTGAGGTTAAAAAGAATGTCAACATTTATTTAGGCAGTGATCAAGCCTGTTTTCAATCTTGGAGTTATTGCCACCCTTCCTAAAAAAATAATTAAAAGTCTAAGCCGGGCATGGAGGGCCACACCTGTAATCCCAACACTTTGGGAGGCCAAGACAGGTGGATTACTTGGGGCCAGGAGTTCGAGACCAGCCTCGCCGACATGGTGAAACCCAGTCTCTACCAAAAATACAAATATTAGCCAGGTATGGTGGTGCAAGCCTGCAATCCCAGCTACTTGGGAAGCTGAGGCACAAGAATCCCTTGAACTCAGGAGGTGGAGATTGTGGTAAACCAAGATCGCACCACTGCACTCCAGCCTGGGTGACAGAGTAAGACCCTGTCTCAAAAAATAAAATAAAAGTCTGAAAAGGCATTTTAAGCAAAACACTTGGACGACAATTTTTAAAATAAGCAAATATTCAGTTAAAAAGTACATTTATGGCCGGACATGGTGGCTCACACCTGTAATCCCAGCACTTTGGGAGGCCAGGCAAATGGATCATTTGAGGTCAGGAGCTCAAGACCAGCCTGGCCAACATGGTGAAACTCCATCCCTACTAAAAATATAAAGATTAGCCAGGCATGGTGGCAAGTGCCTATGATCCCAGCTACTTGAAAGGCTAAAGCAGGAGAATTGCTTGAGCCTAGGAGATGGAGGTTGTGGTGAGCTGAGATGCTGCCACTGCACTCCAGTCTAGGTGACAGAGTGAGACCCTGTCTCAAAAAAAAAAATGACATATGTGTATATATATATATATATATATATATATATATATATGCATAAACACACACTAATCTGAGAGATACTCTGTCTCCTTCAAATCTAAGAGATGTTCTGTACAAGGACAAGATGTTGACCATGGAGAATTTGCCTCTGTCGCCTGAGTTTCATTTCCCCTTGGGGTTTTCCCAGGGGGTGTGACAGTCATCTGTGCTGCTCAACAGATTATTTCTGGCTTTCTGCCTTCCAGACATATGATGGGATTGCTTCCTCGCCCCCTTGGGTTGGGTGGGGTAATCCAGGCTAACAAGTCATGACAGAATGTGGCATTTATAACTTCTGTGCAGAGCAGAGCACTAAGTTGCTGGTGTGAGACCGTGTGGAGCACCCTTTCATTCCTCTGCCAGGACAACCAGCCATGATCCTGGCGGTGGCTGCTCCATCAGCCTGGATTACAAAACAGTGTGAAGCAGAAACCCCCCATTGTCTGGCAGTGGAAATGTAGCAATGGCAAGAACTAAGTCTTATTTTTTGCCACTGAAACATTGTGGCTGTCTGTTAGAGCAGCAAAACCTAGCCTGTTCTGACTGATACAGTAAGAATAGTATCACCAGTCCCATGACCCCAGTTATTAATCTCTTAACACCGAGACCCCAACGTTGACAATAAAAACCCTTTCTTAAGTTTCCGTTGCCCTGGCTGATAGACACTGGCACTTTCAAAATGGCGTTAATAAATACGAGGAGAGATAGGAGGCTGAGAGAGCACAGGCTTGGAGAATAAGCAGGAATCAGACTAACTGCGTTCTGCCCCTTCTACACTGCCTGATCTTGGGCAAGTTATATCATCTCCCCAAAACTCAGTTCCTTAACAATGAAAAGAGATAATAATAATGGAACCCATCCCACTGGATTGTTTTAAATGCTCAATAAATCTCCATTTCAAAGGTATTCTTCTTGATGAGCTCTTAACTGCCAACTGTTTTAGCTTAGGTTCCCCAGAAAACAGAATCTGAGTCAAATGCTTATGTGTGAGTTCATGAGAGGGACCAGAAGGGAGGGAGAAGGAGAGTAGTGCAGGGGAGATGGGAGAGCCTACCAAGGTTGTGAGGTGGCATTAGGAAGGGGGCGACTGGTCCCACAGGACCCATGGAGAAACCTTTCAAAATACCCTCCATGTATAGGGAGATGGGAGGAGGAAGGAAGAGGCATGTCAGCTCCTGTCACACACTGGCCACAGGTTAGCCTCAGGGAGGTGTTAGGTGACCTGCACTTCTGGGTTGCACAGGCAACAGCACTGAGAGGTGTGGCCCACACCTTGTCATCTCCAGAAGAGCCCTGAGACGGGAGCCGAAAGGCATGGGGTGCTCACAGGTTGCACCTAATGTCAAGCTGCTCAGAGTCAACTGTTTGCCTTATTTATGTCTGCAATAAGTGACAGGTGAGGCTGAGGTCTGAAGCATACAAAAGAGGCATCCAGCCCACCACCTGTTTAAAATTGCAAACATTGGCTGGGTGTGGTGGCTCATGCCTGTAATCTCAGCATTTTGGGAGGCCAAGGTGGGCAGATCATCTGAGGTCAGGAATTCAAGACCAGTCTGGCCAATGTGGCAAAACCCTGTCTCTGCTAACAATACAAAGAGTCAGCTGGGCATTGTGGTGGGCGTCTGTAATCCCAGCTACTTGAGAGGCTGAGGCAGGAGAATTACTTGAACCTGGGAGGCAGAGGTTTCAGGGAGCTGAGATCACGCCATTGCACTCCAGCCTGGGCAAGAGAATGAGACTCTGTGTCAAAAAAAAAGAAAAGAAAAGAAAAAGAAAAATTGCAAACACCTCACTCTGGAATTTCTTATCCTCCTACCCTGCTTATTTTCCTGCATTTCCTGCCTCACCATCCAATCTACAATATATTTTCCTTATTTCATGTATTCTTCCTTCCCCTACTAGAATGTAAACCCCTTGAAGGCAAAACATTGTAACATCAAAGTGTGTTTGTTACACAGAGTAATGGAGTGAGACCCTGTCTCAAAAAAAAAAAAATTAAAAGTCTGAAAAGGCATTTTAAGCAAAACACTTGGACTACAATTTTTTTTTTTTTTTTTTTTTTTTTTTTTGAGACGGAGTCTCGCTCTGTCGCCCAGGCTGGAGTGCAGTGGCGGGATCTCCGCTCACTGCAAGCTCCGCCTCCCGGGTTCACGCCATTCTCCTGCCTCAGCCTCCCAAGTAGCTGGGGCTACAGGCGCCCGCCACTACGCCCGGCTAATTTTTTGTATTTTTAGTAGAGACGGGGTTTCACCGTTTTAGCCGGGATGGTCTCGATCTCCTGACCTCGTGATCCGCCCGCCTCGGCCTCCCAAAGTGCTGGGATTACAGGCGTGAGCCACCGCGCCCGGCCTACAATTTTTAAAATAAGCAGATATTCAGTGCTCAAGTGTTTAGAGCAATGACTGGCACATACTAGGTCCTCCCTAAATATTATTATTATCATTTTTATATTTGAGAGAGTGTCTTGCTATGTTGCCCAGGCTGGAGTGCAGTGGTGTAATCACGGCTCACTGCAACCTCCACCTCCCAGGTTCAAGTGATTCTTCTGGCTCACCCTCCCAAGTAGCTGGGTTTACAAGTATGTTCCACCACACCCGGCTAATTTTTGTATTTGTAATAGAGACGGGGTTTCGCCATGTTGGCCAGACTGGTCTCGAACTCCTGGCCTCAAGCGATCCACCCGCCTCGGTCCCAAAGTGCTGGGATAACAGGAACGAGCATCATGCCCTGCCAATATTATTTTTTTAACCTTTTATTTTGATATAATTTCAAACTTAGAGAAAATCTGCAGAAAAAAGTACAAAGAACTCCTACATACATTTTACCCAGATTCACCATTGTTAATGTTTTAGCACGTTACCTTTATCATTTTCCCTTTCTCTCTCTCTGAACCAGTTGACAGTAATCTGTAAATATCACGTTCCTTTTCTCTCAAATACATGAACGTAAGTACATGCTTGAACATAACCATGAGATGATTACAAAAATCAAGAAACAAATTCAAATTTTGTCAGTTGTCCCAATAATGCCTTTTATGGCAAAATTTTCCTTAACTGATGACTCAATCCATAATCACGCAATGCATTTAGTGGTTCTGTCCCTTTGGTCTTTTCCATCTGGAATCGTTGCTGAGCCTTTCTTTATCTTTTATGACACTGACATTTTTGAAGAGTACAGGCTTGTTATTTTGTAGAAAGTTCCCTTAATTTAGATTCGTTTGAGGTTCTGTCACGGTTAGATTCAGCTGGTAAAGAATATATGAACAGATTGTTATTATCAAACGTGGTTGTTATCTAAGTACAGAGCTCGGAGCCTTGTTGTAAGTAGCTACGCTCAGGACCCTAGTCCCCCTCTTCTCTCGCCACACCTAAACTCTAACCCCAAGGGATTGACGTATGCCTGGCAGCACCCAGGGTCTTTCCTTCCCAATTCCTGATCTAGCTCCGATGAAGGACCACATTTACCACTCCCCACCCGCTAGGAGCTCCTGCTCGTCCAGCTTCACACTATGGAAAGAAAGCAATTGCCCCCTTGTCTTCCAACTCCTCTCCCCTGCCCCCTCCACTTATCTCATTATTATTATTATTATTATTATTATTATTATTATTATTATTATTATTTTTGAGATG
This sequence comes from Homo sapiens, assembly GCF_000001405.40. Classification (NCBI taxonomy): domain Eukaryota; kingdom Metazoa; phylum Chordata; class Mammalia; order Primates; family Hominidae; genus Homo; species Homo sapiens. The sequence continues at coordinate 11,628,659 of NC_000010.11, forward strand.
GAATTTCACTCTTGTTGCCCAGGCTGGAGTGCAATGGCGCGATCTCGGCTCACTGCAACCTCTGCCTCCCGGGTTCAAGCGATTCTCCTGCCTCGGCCTCCCGAGTAGCTGGAATTACAGGCATGTGCCACCACGCCCAGCTAATTTTGTATTTTTAGTAGAGATGGGGTTTCTCCATGTTGGTCAGTCTGGTCTTGAACTCCTGACCTCAGGTGATCTGCCCACCTCAGCCTCCCAAAGTGCTAGGATTACAGGCCTAAGCCACTGTGCCTGGCTTTTTTTTTTTTTTTTTTTTTGAGACAGAGTCTCTCTCTGTTGCCCAGGCTGGAGTGCAGTAGAGCAATCTCAGCTCACTGCGGCCTCTGCCTCCCGGGTTCAAGTGACCCTCCCACCTCAGCCTCCTGAGTAGCTGGGACTACAGGCATGCGTCACCACACCCGGCCATTTTTTGTTGTATTTTCAATAGAGACAGGGTTTCACCATGTTGGCCAGGCTGGTCTCGAACTCCTGACCTCAGGTGATCTGCCTGCCTCAGCCTCTAAAGTGCTGGGATTATAGGTGTGAGCCATAGCGCCCGGCCTCATTATTCTTCTTTTCCTCCTTCTCCTCATTTTTCTTCCCTTCCTCTTCCTCCATCTCTTTCTCCTTTTTCTTCTCTTTGCTTTTCCTGATATGTTGACTTCACTTTTTTATGCTAGCTTTCTCCAGTAAACTATACCCTTAAGTCCAGACTCTTCTCTTTCCAGATTCACAGCCCAAGAAGAAGACCTCCTTTCTCTATATAGTCCCAATTTTGAAAAAAAAAAAAACTTCAGAAAAGACTTTGATAGGCTCTACTTAGTTAACATTCTCACATCAGTGGTCAGAATTTGGGTTCTGTGATTTGAAGCTTCCCTAGAGCCACAACATTTAGAATGAAAATGCAAATAAAAGCCACAACCAAAACAAAATTAAAAAAAAAAACAGAAAATAATAAGTGTTAGCCAGGACACGGAAAAACTGGAATCTTTGTGCATTGCTGGTAGAAACATAAAACGGTGCAGCCACTTTGGAAAACAGGCTGGTGGTTTCTAAAAAAGTTAAGCATAGAGTTACCACGTGACCCAGCAATTTCACCCCTTAGGTATATGCCCAAAAGAAATAAAAGCAAATGTCCACACGACAACTTGTGTGTGAATGTTCATAGCAGCATTGTTCATAATAGCCAGATGGTGGAAACGACGCAAATATCCATCAGCTGAAGAATCAATAAACAAAATGTGATCTATTCATACAATGGAATATTGTTCGGCCATAAAGAGGACTGAACATGATGCTAATTGAAAAACACCAAATGCTAAAGAGCACGTATTGTGTGGTCCCATTTATGTGATATATCCAGAATAGGCAAATCCATAGAGACAGAAAGTGAGTGATTCCAGGGCCTGTTGGGGGAGGGATGGAGAGTGACTGCTAATTTTATGGGGTTTCCTTTAAAAATGGTGAAAGTGTTCTAGAATGACACAGTGGTGATGGTCGCACCAACTTGTGAATATACTATAAACCACTTCCAAAAAGTGGATTTTATATTTTGTGATTCATATCTCAAAAACATTAAAAGGAAAAATATAAAAGGAAACAGCTTCCCGGAAATATTAACTTCCCAAAGCAATACTGTGGAAGTTAGAGTATGTGCTAAATCTCAAGTTGACTAAATGTAACCAATCCAAACGAAGTTACCATTTAATAGACAAAGAGTCCTCAAAATATACCGGAAGTAGTCTCCATCAAGTCTTGAAGAAGAGTCAAATGACAAGAATTTGTCATTATCCAACCCTTTTCATCAAAAGGAAACGCTGCACCTAGTAGACATGAGTATTTCTACAAGCAAAAGGTATGCTTCATTGCCCTACAGAGATGATTCTCCAAATTCTATCATGGCCTGAATGAACCCCCACTAGAATTCTTAAACTCGGCCAGGCACAGTGGCTCATGCATGTAATCCCAGCACTTTGGGAGGCCAAGGCCGGTGAATCATGAGGTCAGGAATTCGAGACCAGCCTGGCCAATATGGTGAGACCCTGTTATCTACTAAAAATACAAAAAATTAGCTGGGCATAGTGGAGGACACCTGTAATCCCAGCTACTCGGGAGGCTGAGGCAGGAGAATCACCTGAACCCAGGAGGCAGAGGTTGCAGTGAGCCGAGATTGCGCCACTGCACTCCAGCCTGGGCAACAGAGTGAGACGCCGTCTCAAAAAAAGAAAAAAAAAAAAAAAGAAATTCTTAAACTCCCTATACTCTGACTCCACATTCTCCAATTTCCTGGTTGCTATTAATTAGGCTTCTGAGGGAAATTCTCACCAAAAGAAGTACTTTGAATGGAAGACAAAACATTTTAAATCATTAAAGACTTTCTATTTGCATTTTAAGCTAATAAAAATACATGTTCATGGATACAAAGGTGTCGGTTATTCACCATTTTTCTACTCATAAGCCCTCAGTCACTCCTGGGTGAACTGAAAAAATTGAGTATATGAGGGCAAATCCCAATACCCAAAGGGAATTTGATTAGGTGAGGCAGCTCTGTATCAGTTACAAAAGGTTTTGACTCTCCCATTAACAGTGACAAATAAAAAGAGTAGCTTTTTATTTATAAAATTACCATAAGATCCAGCAATATCGCATCTCCACATATATTCAAAAGAATTGAAAGTAGGGTGTCGAACAGATATCTGTACAGCCAACTTCATAGCATTATTATTATTATTATTGTTATTGAGATGGAGTCTCGCTCTGTCACCGAGGCTGGAGTGCAGTGGCGCGATCTGGGCTTACTGCAACCTCTGCCTCCCTGGTTCAAGTGATCCCCCTGCCTCAGCCACCGGGGTAGACGGCTGCTGCTCGTGATTAAGTTGCTTACAATTCCATTACTAGGTCTATGCCGCCTTTTTGCTTAAAAATATTCCCAGAGCTCATTTCCTCCGTTCAGATATAATTATTTAAACTTGAGTTTAGTGTTTTGACATATACTTCTAAACTGTAACATACTTATTAGCATTTTAGTAACATTTAAGATCTATTAGTAAAGGTTCAAGATATATAAATTATTTAGTAACTTTGTAAAATGCCTTTATGGTAGCATATGTTAGCTAAGGATGGGCCCTTTGACTTTCCAAAACTGGAAAACAACCATTTTAAAGCTGTAAGATTTCTGCTTTTTAAGCGATGGAGGCTTGAATTTAGATAGTAATGTAGATTAACCATTTATTGTAAGAGAATCATGTGTCTGTTTTCTTTTCTAAAATTCCTACCAGCCTGGGCAATGAAGTGGCACCCCATCACTACAAAAAATTATTCTAAAAATTATCTAGGTGTGGTGGCGCACCTGTGGTCCCAGCTACTCGGAAGACAGGCAGGAGGGTCGCTGGAGTCCAGGAATTTGAGGCTGCAGTGAGCTCTGACCACATCACCGCACTGCAGCCTCGGAGACAGAGCAAGACCCTGTCTCTAACAAATTAAAAATTAAAAATAATAATAAATAAAATTCCTAATTCTGATAAAAAGATACATAACATGAAATTTACCATCATAACTATTTTTAAGTGTACAATTCAATGGTGTTAAGTCATTGTGCCACAAATTGCCCTGGCTTTTTCATGAAGTAAAAATGAAACTTTGTACCCATTAAACAACAACTCCGGTTTCCTCTCATCCAGCTGCTGGCAACCACCATTCTACTTTCTGTTTCTATGCGTTTGACTACTCTTAACAGCCTCATGTAAGTAAAATCACAGTATGCGATTTGTGGCTGACACCTTACTTAATGTTCTCAAAGCTCACCCATGTTGCAGTATGTATATGAATTTTCTTCCTTTTTGAAGCTGAATAATATTTCATTGCATGGATAGACCACATTTTGTTTTATCTGTTCATCTGTCAATGGCCATTTGGGTTTTATTCACCTTTTGGCTATTGTGAATAATGTTGCTATGGGCTGGGCGCAGTGGCTCACGCCTGTAATCCCAACACTTTGGGAGGCTGAGGCAGGCAGATCACTTGAAGTCAGGAGTTCGAGGCCAGACTGGCCAACATGGTGAAACCCTGTCTCTACTAAAAATACAAAAATTAGCTGGGTGTGGTCGTGCATGCCTGTAGTGCCAGCTACTTGGGAGGCTGAGGCAGGGGGATCACTTGAACCTGGGAGGCAGAGGTTGCAGTGAGCCCAGATCGCGCCACTGCACTCCAGCCTCAGTGATAGAGCAAGACTCCATCTCAATAACAATAATAATAATGCTATGAAGTTGGCTGTACAAATATCTGTTCAACACCCTACTCTCAATTCTTTTGAATATATATGGACATGCGATATTGCTGGTTCTTATGGTAATTGTATTTTTAATTGTGTGAGGACCCACCATAGTGTTTTCCATAGTAGCTGCACCATTTTACATTTCCACCAACAATGCACAATATTCCAGTTTCTCCACATCCTTGCCAACACTTATTTTCTGTTCTTTTGATAGTGTCCTTCCTCATGGGTATGAGGTGGTATCTCACTGTGGTTTTCATTTGTATTTCCGTAATTATTAGTGGTGTTGAGTATCTTTTCATTTACTTGGTGACCACTTGTATATTTTCTTTGGAGAAATATCTACTCAAATACTTTGCCTAGTTTTTAATCGTGTTACTGGGTTTTTCATTGTTGAGTTGTAGGAATTCTTTACATATTCTGGATATTAAACCCTACTTAGATAGATAATTTGCAAATATTTTCTCCCATTCTGTAGGTTGACTTTTCAATCTGTTGATTGTGTCCTTTGATACACAGGTTTTTTTTTTATTTTGATGGATCTAATTCATCTATTTTTTCTTTTGTTGCCTGTGATGTTGATGTCACAGCCAAGAAATCATTGTCAAATCTGATGTCATGGATGTTTTTTCCTATGCTTTCTCCAGAGAGTTTTATAATTTTAGCTCTTATAGTAACGTCTTTGATCCATTTTGAGTTAATTTTTGTGTATGGTGTATGGTAAGGGTCCAACTTCATTATTTTGCATTATTTTGCATACAGATACCCAGTTTCCATACCCAGTTGAAAAAGTTGTCCTTTCCCTGTTGAATGGTCTTTGCACTCTTCTCAAAAGTCATTTGGCTATATATGCAAGGATTTATTTCTGGTCTCTCTATTCTATTGGTCTATGTGTCTGTCTTTATGCCAGTATCACATTGTTTTAATTACTGTTGTTTTGTAATAAAATTTGAACTCAGGAATTGTGAGGCCAACAACTATTCTTTTTTCAAGATTGTTTTGGCTATTTGGGGTCCCTTGACATTCCATATTAATTGTACAATGGACTTTTCTATTTCTGAAAAAAAATATTTGGGATTTTGATAGGGATTACATTAAATCTGTAGATCTTTTTGAGTAGTATTGACATCTAAATGCTATTAAGTCTTCCAGTCCAGAACATCAGACATCTTTCCTTTTGTGTTTTTTTTAATTTATTTCAGCAACACTTTGTAGTTTTCAGTGTGCAAGTCATTCATTTGCCTCTTTGGAGAAGTTTATTCCTGCGTATTTTATTATTTTTGATATGACTGTTTCTAGAACCATTTTCTTAATTTTCTTTTCAGATTGTTCATTGTTCCTGCATAGAAATACAATGGAATTATACATGCTGATTTTGTATCTTGCTACTTTTTAAAATTTGTTTATTAGTTCTAGAAGTTTGGGTGTTGTTGTTGTTGTTGTTTTGTTTTTATTTTTTTTTAATGGAGTCTTGCTCTGTTGCCAGGCTGGAGTGCGGTGGCGCAATCTTGGCTCACTCTCACTGCAAACTCTGCCTCCCGGCTTCAAGCGATTCTCCTGCCTCAGCCTCCTGAGTAGCTGGGACTATAGGTATGCGCCACCGTGCCCAGCTAATTTTTGTATTTTTAGTAGAGACGGGGTTTCACCATGTTGGCCAGGCTGGTCTGGAACCCCTGACTTCAAATGATCCACCCGCCTCGGTCTCCCAACGTGCTGGGATTATAGGCATGAGCTACCACACCTGGCATCTTCCTCTTCTTATAAAGACATCAGTCCTAAACCAGGCACAGTGGCTCATGCCTATAATCCCAGCACTTTGGGAGGCCGAGGTGGATGAATTGCTTGAGCCCAAGAGTTTGAGACCAGCCTGAGCAATATGGTGAAACCCCACCACTACTAAAGATACAAAAATTTGCTGGGTGTGGTGGTGCATACCTGTAGTCCCAGTTACTTGGGAAGCTGAGGTGGGAGGATCACTTGAGCCCAGGAGATGGAGGTTACAGTGAGCCGAGATCATGCCACTGCACTCCAGCCTGGGCAACAGAGCAAGACCACGTCTCCAAAAAAAAAAAAAAAAATGGGGACAACAGTCTTATCAGATTAGGACCTCACTCTTCTGATCTCATTTAACCTCACTTACCTCCTTAAAGGCCCTATCTCCAAAAACAGTCATACTGAGGGCTAGAGCTTCAACATATGAATTTAAGAGGACACAATTTAGTTCATAACAGTGGTCATCCTATTCTTGTTCCTGATTTTAGAAGAAAAGATTTCAGTCTTTCACCACTGAGTATGATGTTGGCTGTGGGCTCTTCAGCTATGGCCTTTATCACGTTGAGGACATTTTCTTCTATCCCTAGTTTGTTGAGTGTTTTCATCATGAGTGTTAATTTTTCCAAATATTAATACTTTTTCTGCATCAATTGAGATGATTATGTGTTTTTTCTTTTAATCTGTTAATGTGGTTTATTACATTGATGGATTTTCATATGTTGAAACCTCCTTGCATTCCAGGAATAAACTTTGCTTGGTCATGGGGTATAATTCTTTTAATATGTTGTTAAGTTCTGTTTGCTAGTATTTTGTTTAGGATGTTTGCATCAATATTTAGCCATGATCTTAGTTTATAGCTTTCTTTTCTTGTAGTGTCTTTGTTTGCCCTTGGTATCAGGGTATTGAGGACCTCGTGGAATAAGTGTGGAAGGTTTCCTTCCCGTTCAATTTTTTTTTGCAGAGTTTGAGGAGAGTTGGTGTTAATTCTTCTTTAACTGTTCGGTTGAATTCACCAGGGAAGACATTTGGTCCTGGGCTTTTCTATTTTGGAAGCTTTTTTGATACTGATTCAATCTCTTTATTAAGGTCTGTTCAGATTTTCTATATGTTCATTATTCAGTCTTGATAGGTTGTGTGTTTCTAGAATGTATCCATTTCATTCAGGTTATTGAAAGTTTTGGCACACAGCTGATCACAGTATTCTCTTAAAAGACTGTCTATTTCTGTGAAATTGGTTGTAATGTCCCTCTTTCATTTCTGATTTATTTGAGTCTTCTCTTTCTTTTTTTCTTTTTTTTCCTAAGTTAATGTAGATAAAGGTTGGTCAATTTTGTTGATTTTTTCAGAGAAACGACTCTTGGTTTCATTCATTTTCTCTGTTGTTTTTCTAGTCTCTACTTTGTTTATCTCTGTCCTTTTCTCATTATTTCCTTCCTTCGCTAGCTTTGAGGTTAGTTTGTTCTTCTTTTTCTAGATCCATAAGGTGTAAAGTGAACTTGTTGATTTCAGGTCTTTCTCCCTTTCTGGTGTAAGCATTTACAGCTCTAAATTGCCCTCTTAGCACTGCCTTTACTGCATCCCATAAGCTTTGTTATGTTGTGTTCTCTTTTTCATTTATCTCAAGATATTTTCTAATTTCTTTTATGATTTCTTCTTTAACCTATTGGTTGTTTGAGAGTGTATTGTTTAATTTCCACGTATTTGTGGATTTTCCAGCTTTCCTTCTGTTATTAATTTCTGGTTCCAGTTCACTATGATTAGAAAAGATATGAGGTATAATTTCAGTCAGTCTTTTCAAATTTATTAACACTTGTTTCGTGGCCTAGCAGACTTTCTTAATTCTTTGGGAAGATTGCTACTTTTCTCTGTGATTTTGAAATGACTTATGATTGTACAATATTACTTGCTTTGGAAATGTTGGGATTTGTTTCTCATTTGAACAAAATCCAGAGCTAAAATTGGAAGGACTGCTAAAATTGGAAGAATCCAGAAGCTCCTCAGCTTGTGGCTTCTCCGCTTTCTATGCAGGGGTTCCAAAGTTGTCATGCTCTTCTGTATCAGGCCTGATGCAAAAGGAAAGAGGATGAAGAATTGTCTATGGGAGGTTTCTGTGGGCCAGGCCTGGAAGTGGTTCTCACCACATTTCATTGGCAGGAATTCAGTCACACAGCTGTACCTAACTCTTCAGGAGGCTAGGAATGTAGTCTAACTGTGAGCCTAGGAAGAGAAGAAAATGGGTTTCATGAATAGCTGCCACATTCTAGAATTCTATCTACAGTCAAACCATCAATCAAATGGACATTTAGAAGAAAGACTTTTTATTTCCATGTAGTCTCTCTTAGGAAGCTAATTAAAGATGAAATTCAATCAAGCGAAGAAGGAAACCAACAAAGAAAGAAATGCAGGATCTAGAAATAGTGAATCCAAATCAGGGGACAGTGAATGGCAGGTGCAGGCTCAGAGCTGTTCCGCAGACCTGGGGAACAAGCAGCCCGTGGGGCAGGAACAAGCCAAGTTCCCACAGGGCAAGTCCTTGACAATAGAAGGGAGAGGATGGAATAGATGGGAGACTTCAAGTTTGGATATACTTGAGGATATGCATTTGTGTTGTTGTTGTTGTGTTGTTGAGACAGGGTAACGCTCTGTCACTCAGGCTGGAGTGCAGTGGCATGATCACAGCTCACTGCAGCCTTGACCTCCCAGGCTCAAGTGATCTTCCCACCTCAGCTTCCCAAATAGCTGGCATCACAGGTGCATGCCACCATACCTAATTTTTTATTTTTAGTAAAGATGCGATCTCACTATGTTGCCCAGACTGGTCTCGAATTCTTGGGCTCAAGTGATTGTCCCGCCTCAGCCTCCCAAAGTGCTGGGACTATAGGTGTGAGCCACTGTGCCCAGCCAGAAAATGCATTTGAACTTCATGACTGGAACTTTCTCCAAAGAATGACATAGATATGTAATATTAAATCCATAGACAAAGAAATGAACATAAATTGACGGTGAATAACACTTTTTTTTTTTTTGAGACAGAGTCTCACTCTGTCGCCCAGGCTGGAGTGCAGTGGCGCGATCTCGGCTCACTGGAAGCTCCACCTCCCGGGTTCACACCATTCTCCTGCCTCAGCCTCCCGAGTAGCTGGGACTATAGGCGTCCACCACCACGCCTGGCTAATTTTTTTGTATTTTTAGTAGAGACAGGGTTTCACCATGTTAGCCAGGATGGTCTCAATATCCTGATCTTGTGATCCGCCCACCTCGGCCTCCCAAAGTGCTGGGATTCCAGGCATGAGCCACCACGCCCAGCCTACACTTTCACAACCATAAGAAGATAGTTCTTCAATTGTTCATTAATCAAGACTCATAATCAGAAACTATGAAAATCAACCCTAACTGATCTGAACAGAAAAAGAATTTCTTGAAAGGTATCAGTGACTCTGGGAACTACTGGAGGCTCAGAAGTTACCCAGTGGGGCCCACGGCCATAATGAGGCTGTCCAGGGAGAACCCCACTATTGCCACCATTGCTAAGCAACAGATGACATAGTTGATGCCGTCCAACCAATCACATTGGACAGTGGGTGTTGTACTGCACCACTGAGTCCCTTCCTCGCCTTTCTCCCATCCCTGAACCTGGTTGTCGTTGCCACCACCACCACTGCCCCGGAAATTCTCAGCATCCATGACTGTTTTCATGAGCTGCTCCCAATTTAAAACATACTGATGCATAAAATTGGCTCTGCCTAGGTTAAATACCTACCCAATACCAGCAAGGGAAGCTGGGAGGCTTAAGTATTTGCATTTTCTATTTTCTGTAATAGTAGAAGAGCTCTGCCTCCCCCAGGACTCATTAGGTGGAAAATGCCTCAAATACATGAAAAATTTCAAATTCTAGATAGCAAAAAAGAAATATTGATTGCACATTGATTATCAACTTTTATAATCAATCTATCGACAAATCAAAGTTAACTAGAGTTAACTTGATCAGAGTTTAAATATTAGCATTCACAATAAAATGATAAAGATGCAGCTGATAGAGATGGGAAGAAGAAAAGGATGATAATGATGAGTAGTAACAAAAAAAGAACAAGAGGCAAGATTTTCATCTGCCTAAGTGAGGAATTGAAAGATACCATCTATAAAATAAAAAATAGAGGGTTGGGTATCATTTTTTAGCTTGGAAATAGAAATTAAGAGAGAGAAATGGAAGATTTTTTTCTAACTGTACTGGAAAGAAAATGGGAGAGGATGCTAATCTTAAGTTACATACTTCACTATGATATAAGGAAGTCAAAATACAATGCCTAACATTTATAAATCAAGAAATCACTGTACATGCATATTATTTAGAGCTATGGGAAAAAAATACCAGAAATGGTAGAAGATGGGGGCCAGTAAGGTGTGGAGAAATGGATTCCAGAACTTGCTTTTCATTTCAAGTTCTTATGTATAAGTTGATTTTTTTAAAGCTCATACAGGCATTATCTTGATTTTTTCATGTAGCCTGGGAGATTCTTCAATGGAAAGATTCTGTCTCTCCCTCTCATATTCATAGGTTAAAACCTTATACATTTAGATCACTTATTAATATTTTTCATAAATAGAGAAGTATTTCCCGCAAGAAAACCTCACATCTTGATCATATTCTTATTCTAATTCAAGTTTCTGTTTATCTGTTTACTCTAAATATTGTTATCTTGCTTAATCTGAGATGAAATCTTCTTGATGACATTCCAGAATTCTGTTCCGGCTTCGGTAATACAGAAGAAAAAAAGCATCCAGAATAGCATTCTGCTGCCTCACCTTTTAAAGTCCTGTATGTATAAATGTGTGTGTACAGATGTGCATACTAGGATATGTGCAACCCATATCTCCACAAGCCACGTCACTTGGAATTACAGAAACTCCAGCCCTCCCCAAATGGCACCACTCCCCCATGTCTTATCCTCTTTCATCTACAGCCTGGTACCCACAATATTCCTCCCAGGGTCCAGCTGCCCTGGAATATCCCTCCCCTGAAATGTCACCTGGGCCCCCTAATGAGCCAAGGAAATTTTGTAAAACACTCCTTTTATTGTGCTTTTTTATTAGAGTCCCTTCTTCTTAGGGCCCAAGCAAGAATCTCTGAGAGCCAAGCCAGAGGCAAGGTGATGGAATGAGCACTGGAGTCACGCCCACTTGCCCATCGTGTTAGTCAGCGTGGGCGGCTCTAACAGAATATCTAGACTGGGTCTACGATAAACAGCAGAAACTTCTTCCTCACAGTTCTGGAGTCCGGAAATCCCAGATCAGGGCAGCAGCATCATTGGGTTCTAGTGAGGGCTCTCTTCCAGGTTGCACATGGCCGCCTTCTTGCTCTGTCCTCATGTGGCAAAAAGTGCAGAGAGAGCTCTCTGGGTTCCCTTTTATAAGGGCACTACTCCTATTCATGAGAGCTCTGTCTTCATGACCTAATTGTCTCCCAAAGGCCCCATCTCCTAAGACCATCAATTAGGGGTAAGGACTTCAACATATGAATTTGTGAGGCACACAAACATTCAATTCCTAGAGCCCATTGTCTTTGACCGCCATGTGCCCTTTGACTCTCCCTTCCATTAAGATAACTTTCCTTGTGGATTTCCGGCTCTCTCGTAGGCTTGCTAAATACCAGGGTAAACACAATTTGTGTGTGTTGCTCAAACGTTGCATAATTCTACACCCTCGTTATAGAGAGATTAAGCTCATTTGAAGGTTGAGGTCAGTCCCTGGTCTGCTAATTACCCAAGATAGAACTGGGTCACTCAGGAACTAAAAGTACAGGAGAGGGAACTGGGGGTTGGGTCCTGCTGTGGTGTCTGCAGATAGCCTGTCAAAAGAGTAACCTGGAGGAACACAAGGAGGCTTGAAGCACCGGGTAAGTCTAGCTATGGTACAGGCTCAGTGGCCAAGGCAAAAAACAGTCCAGATTGGAACTATCACAAATACACATCCACATACAAACACACACCAAGGCCCAGGGCCAAGAAACACATTCCAAAACCCAGGGCATCGGAGGCAGTCCAAACTGACTAAGCAAGATGGCACATCAGTAAGTCAAGCTGATAGAACACTGAGATGAAGAGTCAGATATCCAAGTCTAGAAGAGTGTCTCAAGCCAGGGACAAATCCAACTATCCACATTAAGAAGTCCTGCAAGTCATTAGGGACAGCACTTAAAAAGGAGACAAGCTGGGGGCAGTGGCTCACGCCTGTAATCCCAGCACTTTAGGAGGCCAAGGCGGGTGGATCACCTGAGGTCAGGAGTTCAAGAGCAGCCTGGCCAACGTGGTGAAACCTGTCTGTACTAAAAATACAAAAAAAACATAGCTGGATATGGCGGTGTGTGCCTGTAATCCCACCTGCTCAGGAGGCTGAGGCAGGAGAATCACTTGAACCCAGCAGGCGAAGGCTGCAGTGAGCCGAGATCATGTCACTGCACTCCAGCCTGGGTGACAGACTGAGACTCCATCTCAAAAAAAAAAGAGAGAGACAGTAGACAGACAGTGAGTAATTTTTTTTTTTTTTTATGAGACAGAGTCTTGCTCTGTTGCCCAGGCTGGAGTGCAGTGGCGCGATCTCAGCTCACTGCAACCTCCGCCTCCCGGGTTCAAGTGATTTTTCTGCCTCAGCCTCCCAAGTAGCTGGGTCTATAGGCGTGCACCACCACGCCCAGCTAATTTTTGTATTTTTAGTAGAGATGAGGTTTCACCATGTTGGCTTGGCCAGGATGGTCTCAATCTCTTGACCTTGTCATCTGCCCGCCTCGGCCTCCCGAAGTACTGGGATTACAGGCGTGAGCCATCGCGCCCTGCCAGTTTTTTTGTATTTTTAGTAGAAACGGGGTTTCACCGTGTTGACCAAGCTGGTCTGGAACTCCTGACCTCAGGTGATCCGCCTGCCTTGACCTCCCAAAGTGCTGGGATTACAGGCATGAGCCACCGCACCTGGCCAACAGTGAGCAATTCTATGGCTATGTGTGACTAGAGTCCTCTGGCTTACATATAATACCTCTTAATTTTTCATTTGTCCTCCCTTAGAACTTACTAAGTCTTTTTGAAAACGCCATCCTGCACAGATGTGGGAGGGACACTTTGTTTACATTGGGGGTACATTGTTACTGGAGAAAGTCCCTGGAGCCAATGGTCATCACAGTGGAGAACCCCAAAGGAAAACCCCAAAAAAGGAGTGTTTCGGGGAGACTGGTCCTATTGCCTGCCATACCCCCAACCCCGTAAACCCTCCCCTCTGATCCTTCCCAAGCTAAGAATTTAGGGGTTTTGTGACTTGTGTCATAAACGGGATGTTTCCCTTACAGTTTTTACAAGAAGTCCAGACTTGAATATATCAAGCAGGAAACAGCTTAGAACAGGTATCTGAGCAGTAACATCGTCAAGATACCATCTAAACTGAGGGTAGGATCTCGAGGCTAAGATACAAGCTAATTGGGTCATAGTAATGAGTGGGTAGAGTGATGTGGCAGAGACTAGCTATGCATCCATCAGATTTACCTCCTGTCCTGACCGGGCGCACAGCTACGTCTCATTTCCAGATCCTTTGCAGGCAGGTGTGGTCATGGGACGGAGTTCTGCTCAAAGTGGGCAGAAGTGATGTGCACCACTTCCAGTCCACAACCAGGTAAACCTCCCAAAGGCCATCCTCTGTGCTCTTTCCCCTTTCCAGAGCAACTTTGGGAGCCACGTGTGGAAGATGGCATGGATGGGATTAGCTTGGGTCTTTGTATCTCTGCTGCTGAACATGATCACCGAGTAGGATCAACCACTTGGACTTTATCTTCATGGGAAATAAAACTCTCTCGTGTGGCAGGCAGCTGCTGAGATTTGAGGGGTCAGTTATTGCAACGGCTTGCCTGACTTTACAATTACCTTTATAAATACCAAGAAAACAACCAAAAGATGCCCAGACAGGTTGGTCTCCGGTCCAGCCTTGCACATCACAAGATTGCTGTCAGCAGCCCCGGCTGAGTCTTCCACTCCGTATCTGCCCTTCATCTCACCTTCTATTCATAGCCAAGCTTCTTGAAATAGGAGTCTGCGTGTATTGCTCCACTTCCTCTTCTCCCACTCATTCCTTGCTTCATAGAATCTAGATCATACCCCACACCCTACTGAAACTGCGCCTGTGACCTCCCGGCTATCAAATCCAACCTAACACTTTTCAGTCCTTATGGCGTGGCTTTTAATATGCAACAACAGACTTCAAAAAATATTACATTTCTACGTTTCCTAAAACATTCATCTGCTTCCGAGCTTCCTGTCCCCCTGGGTAAGGAGGAAATCCCATCTCAGCCATTACAGAGGCTTCCGTCCCAGGCCCAGGGCCATGCAAGGTTCAGGAAGGCTTTAGACGGCATGGAACATCGGAGGCTGCTGGGTCTTTGGTGCATGAAAGGCTGGAGTGATATGCTTCTTGTCCAGCCATTTGCTTCCCTTGGAAGTGAGTGGCTCTCCTTCATCTGTTCTAAGCCAGGCACTATGTAGGCTGGAAAGCCTGGTGCCTCCCTGGATAGACACAGCACTGCCACCTACCCAGGGGGTTATCAGGAGAATCCACAGGCCTCCATTCATTTCCACATTCTTTTTCTTTTTTTTTGAGACAGAGTCATGCTCTGTCACCCAGGCTGGAGTACAGTGGTGCGATCTCGGCTCACTGCAACCTCTGCCTCTCGGGTTCAAGCAATTCTCCTGCCTCAACCTCCCTAGTAGCTGGGATTACAAGCGTCTACCACCATGCCCAGCTAATTTTTGTATTTTTGGTAGAGACTGGGTTTCACCATGTTGGCCAGGCTGTTCTCCAACTCCTGACCTCAAGTGATCCACCCGCCTCGGCCTCCCAAAGTGCTGGGATTACAGGTGCGAGCCACCGCAGCCGGCCATTTCCCCATTCTCTAAAACACTCTTCTCTCACTATCTCACTCCCAATTTTGCAATCTCCTTGGATGTCTTTTTTGCCTTTGAGCAATTCAGCATTTTTTTTTTTTTTTTTTTTTTTAGGTCCTGGAGGCCAAGGGAATCTTTCTTCTCCAAACTCAAAATCTCTTCTTGGTCTGGGGAAAGGTGAGACTATCTCTCCCAACACATTCACTCATAAATTAAAGCCTCAATGGGTTATCTTGGGGCTCTTACCTTGATCTCTCTGAGGCTTGAAACAATGTACCTTCATTGCGCGGCTCCTCTTCTTAGAATTATATGAACATTCTCTCTGAGTTCGTTTTCTTTCTTTCTTTCTGGTTATTTTAATTTATTTTATTTTATTTATTTATTTATTTTTTTGAGACAGAGTCTCACTCCGTCGTCCAGGCTGGAGTACAGTGGCACTATCTTGGTTCACTGCAACCTCCGCCTCCCAGGTTCAAGTGATTCTCCTGCCTCAGCCTCCTGAGCAGCTGGGATTACAGGTGCCCGCTACCATGCCCAGCTAATTTTTGTATTTTTATTAGAGACGGGGTTTCACCATGTTGGCCAGGATGTTCTCGAACTCCTGACCTTGTGACCCGCCAGCCTCGGCCTCCCAAAGTGCTGGGATTACAGGTGTGAGCCACCATGCCCGGCCTCTTTCTGGTTATTCTTTCTTAGGCCTCTTGTTTTTTTATTCCCAAAGTTATTTTGAACAAATATGTATTCTCCGTGTACATTTTTTAAGTTGATATAAAAAGTAAGCTATGTCTAAACAGCTGCAAAGAATAAATTTTATAGTATATTATAAGTATCAACATTCTGTTTTATTTTATTTCATTTTAGAGACAGGGTCGTGCTGTGTTGCCCAGGCTGGTGTGCAGTGGTGTGACCATAGCTCACTACAGCCTCGAACTCTTGAGCTCAAGTGCTCCTCAGCCTCCCAAATAGATGGAACTACAGACATGCACCACCATGCCCAGCTTTTTGTTGTTGAGTATGGTCTCAAACTCTTGGGCCCAAGCGATCCTCCTGCCTCAGCCTCCCCAAGTGTTGGAATGACAAGCATGAGCCGCTGCGCCTGGCCAGTACCAATATTTAAAATAAAACAATCAGTCGGGCGCGGTGGCTCATGCCTGTAATCCCAGCATTTTGGGAGGCCGAGGCGGGAGGATCACGAGGTCAGGAGATCGAGACCATCCTGACTAACATGGTGAAACCCCTTCTCTACTAAAAATACAAAAATTAGCCGGTCATGGTAGCACACACCTGTAATCCCAGCTACTCAGGAGGTTGAGGCAGGAGAATCGCTTGAACCCGGGAGGTGGAGGTTGCAGTGAGCTGAGATCGCACCACTGCACCCCGGCCAGGGTGACAGAGCAAGACTCTGTCACAAAAAAAAAAAAAAAAACTATCATATCATTCTTCAAAATAGATGTAATTAAATCTAAAATACATGGTGGTTTGTTAGTTATAGCCTACTGCATATTTTAAAAATGTTTATAATAGTTGGCATTTTATTAATATATAGTTTATTTTTCTCTTTGATATTCTATTTATTTTCCCACAGAATTAAACCCTTATGTAATACGTTTTATGCTTTATAGTCTTTTATTAATCACTACCTTTACTTCTCTGAAAATAGGTATAAATTAAAATTGTCTGCGCTTCCCATAGCTACAGGCCTCTAAGTATTAAAGATTTCCTCAGGATTGTGTTGTTATTACAATGATTATTGGTACACAATTGATTAAATATAAATTTAGTACATAATTATTAAACAAGGCTTCGTCTCAGTTTTATTGAGGTGTAATTTACATCACCCCCAAATTCACCCATTTTAAGTGTACGTTTTGATGAGTTTGGGCAACTGTGTTCAGTTATGTAACCAAAACCACAATCAAAATCAAGATATTTGCTGGGCACAGTGGCTCATGCCTGTAATCCCAGCCCTTTGAGAAGCCAAGGCAGGCAGATCACTTGAGGCCAGGAGTTTGAGACCAGCCTGGCCAACATGGCGAAACCCTGTTTCTACAAAAAGTACAAAAACGAGCCAGGCATGTTGGCACGCGATTGTAATCCCCTCCACTTGGGAGGCTGAGGCAGGAGAATCACTTGAACCCGGGAGACAGGGTTTGCAGCGGGCTGAGATCATGCCACTGGACTCCAGCCTGGGCTACAGAGTGAGACTCTGTCTCAAAGAAAAAAAAAAAAAAAGCAAGATATAAAACATTTCCTCAACCCCAAATTTTCCTCTTGCCTCTTTGCAAGCAATCCCCTAATACCTAGTTCCAAGCAATCACTGATCTGGTTTCTGTCACTTTAGTTTCGCCATAAAAAATTTTTATTGGAAATGTATCATTTAATAGATGAGGCTGGAAATACATATGTCTTTTCCCTTATAGTTTAGTTATCTGTTGGTAAATACGACCTTTTGCTAGAGTGAAGCAGGATTCAGCATCAATTTTATTCCTATTTTTCATTTTTATAGATGTAAGCTCTGAGACACTTTATTCACATAGTGGAAGGGAGAGGAAGTTTTTTTTATAGCAATTTCTTTCGATTCTTTGAATTCCTTTTGTGTTTAAGCCAAAAATCACAGAGTGAGCTATAAGCACAAGCAATCTATAGGGATTTAACAGCTGACAATTTAATAAGGTCCTACTTCAGCTTTGTTGAATGCAGAGCTGGAGGCCACTTGGCTGACAGAGGGTCTGTCACCTGGCACTGGAGTCATTTGCTGTCTCAGAACCAATATCAATGTTCCTAATTGCTGCTTTGTTTGGGGCCCCAGAGGTTTTCCACAGTCCAGCATAATGCAATACGGTGCTACGAAGAGTATTGCCTTTCCCTTGGAAAGTGGAAGAAAGGCAATATTGAACGGATAAGAACAGAGATACCACCCCACTCCCCACCTCCCCAGCACAGGCGTGTTCCCAGGCAGAGCAAGTGGAGGGAAGTTACAAACGGAAGTGAGAATCTCGAAATGGATTCTTGAAACCTGCATGCTCGCCTATGCCTTACAGTCTTCGGACGTGCCTAAAAGTGCTTGACCCCAGTTTCAAGGCCTCTGCCTTAAACAGCTAGTATGTGTTTGGATTCAGCTCCAGGTCATCTTCATCACTTCTGCTTCTCCACACTATCCTTATGTGACCTGATCCACACCTTTGGCTTCAACTCCATAGATGGGCTGATAACTCCCAAATCTCTTTTCTCCAGCTCAGACCTCTATCCTGAGTCTAACAACCACACAACCAATTGGCCATTCAACATCTTCACTTTCCACTTTTCTGAGTTAGAATGGATATGCTTGCTTTCTTTCCTTTTTTTTTTTTTTTTTAAACAGAGAGTCTTGCTCTGTCTCCCAGGCTGGAGTGCAGCGGCACGATCTCAGCACACTGCAACATCCGCCTCCCGGGTTCAAGCAATTCTGCTGCCTCAGCCTCCCAAGTAACTGGGATTACAGGTGTGCGCCACCACGCCCGGCTAACTTTTGTATTTTTAGTAGAGATGGGGTTTCACCATGTTGGCCAGGCTGTTCTCAAGCTCCTGACTTCAGGTGATCCACCCACCTCCCAAAGTGCTGGGATTACAGGCGTGAGCCACCGTGCCTGGCCGCATATGCTTTCTTATATGTACACACTTATCCTAACCTATATTTTGAAAAAAAAATTCAACCCCTTATATTGAATTGGGAACAAAGTACCTAACATTTTTCTGGCACTTTATAGACAAAGTGTTTTCATCTCTCTATGGGTGTGTTTATAGGATAATTTATATAATGTATACATGTGACTCTTAACAGCAAATGCTTGTATCTTACAGATGAAGAAACTAAGACTCAGTAAAATGAAAATTCTACTACATTCCAAAAAACATGAAGGAAACAAAAGATTCATTCTGTGCCGTGACTTGGTTGGACAGAAATGTCTTAAATAAAAATCAACATACGCCTATGTATAGCAGGAGGTACACTGATGTTCAGGCAGATAATAAAAAAGAATATTTATTCACAATTTTTAATAAAAAGTAGAATACATTTATAATCTATATAAAAGCACTTTATCTCATTTCCTTATGGAAATATGAAAAAATTAAAATGGGTTGGCTGGAAAATAAAGAAATCAATCCATAACATCTAAGGTCCAAAACAACCTGATTACCAAATACCAACAAATTAAGGGCTGTTCTGCCAGAAACAGGAGGTTAGATGTGTAACTTCCTTGGCTTCCTTCCAGCGATTTAATTCTACACAAAAGAAAAAAAAAAGGAAAGTGTGCCTATTCTTTTATGCATTGTATTTTCAACATATCATTCATTGAATGTACATTTCCTGCCCTAAGCAACATGTTTGTGGATTGAGAGGAAAAAGCAATCTCTTAGGCTAAATCTTGAACAAATGTTGTTTGTAACAAACCCCAAAACAAAAGGGCATCTTGGTAGTAGCTTGAGTTTCATACAACACAAATGTAAAATGTGATATTTTACAAATATGACAGGCAAGTGATCAACCAAGTTTTTTTTTTTTTTTTTTAAGACAGAGTCTCAGTCTGTCATCCGGGCCAGAGTGCAGTGGCGCGATCTCGGCTCACTGCAACCTCTGCCGCCTGGGTTCAAGCAATTCTCCTGCCTCAGCCTCCCAAGTAGCTGGGATTACAGGTGCCTGCTACCGCGCCCGGCTAATTTTTTTGTATTTTTAGTAGACGGGGTTTCACCATCTTAGCCAGGTTGGTCTTGAACTCCTGACTTCGTGATCCACCTGCCTCAGCCTCCCAAAGTGCTGGGATTACAGGCGTGAGCCACTGCGCCCGGCTGTGATCAACCAAGTCTTTAAAAATCTGCTTCTTTCCTCTCCCTCTCTTTCTCTCTTTTTGCTTTTTGCTTTAGTTCCTTTTTTTTTTTTTTTTTTAGACAGTCTCTCTCTGTCGCCAGGCTGGAGTGCAGTGGCACGATCTCGGCTCACTACAACCTCCGCCTCACGGGTTCAAGTGATTCTCCTGCCTCAGCCTCCTGAGTAGCTGGGACTACAGGCGCCTGCCACCATGCCCAGCTAATTTTTTTATTTTTAGTAGAGACGTTGTTGGCCAGGATGGTCTCGATTTCTTGACTCGTGATCTGCCTGCCTCGACCTCCTAAAATGCTAGGATGACAGGCGTGAGCCACCACACCCGGCCTGTTTTTCTATTTCTAGTCTTTGCATCTTGTATATTATTTCTGTACAGTTTATTATACATCTGTACAGTTTATTGTTTTATGCACACATCAAACTTTCCATTTCCTTCATTATATGTGTTACTCTCATTTTCATCTCCATTGTTTGTACATTTTTGAGATGTGGATGCAGAACTCTAAGCCTTTGCTGGTTGATGGTGAATGAAGCCTACTCTGTTACATGTTTTATCTGACAGAGGCCTACAAAGGTAAAAGTGCAGCCAGTCAATGAATGAGGGGAGGTGGGCTTTGAATAAGGGGATGGACACATTCCAGTTGAACCAATTTAAAGCTGTATTTCTGTCCGGGCACAGTGGTTCATGCCGGTAATCCCAGCACTTTGGGAGGCCGAGGTGGGCGGATCACTTGAGGTCAGGAGCTCGAGAACAGCCTGGCTAACACGGTGAAACCCCGTCTCTACCAAAAATACTAAAACCGGGCACGGTGGCGCATGCCTGTAATCCCAGTTACTTGGGAGGCTGAGGCAGGAGGATCCCTTGAATCCAGGAGGCGGAGGTTGCAGTGAATCAAGATCACGCTGTTGCACTCCAGCCTGGGTAACAAGAGCGAAACTCCGTCTCAAAAAGAAAAAAGTTGTATTTCATACTTGAAGCCTTTGACTCCACTTTCATTTGGAAATGATGGCAGGGTGGGGTGCAGAAGAACAGCTTCTATCTTAAGAACAGCTTCTCTTCTATCTTCCCTCTTAAAGGAAAGAGGAAGCTGAGGGTCTCCAGGACCTCCCAGGTCCAAGTGTCCCCAACTCCATCTCTGGACTGAGAGTTACTTCTCTAGTTCTCAGGTCAGCAGGTGGTGGGCCCTTTTTTGAAGTGTGAGCTCACAGGGCTGTTGGGCCTGGGGCCCAGATGAGAAACATGTTTCTCACCCATTTCCTCACTTCTGCCCGCCGTCCTCTGCCACCACCATGCCCTGGTCTCACGTCCTAACTCCATCTTATCAAACCAGAGACATAAGCCATAGGTTATTTATCCCCACCGTGAGAGTTAAATAAGACACAGCAACAGTGGCATCAAAAGGACACAGGATGTTACCAACATCACCAGATGTAATAATTTAGAATATGCTTATTGTCATACAATACAGTGGTATGGAGAATGAAACATTAAGGTCCCACTTTAGTTCCAAGCTGAAAGAGCACAGCTCCCTTCTCCCATAGGAATTTACTGTGAAGAGTTTGAGGTGAATCATTCCATTGTTATTTCCTTTTTTTTTTTTTTTTTTTTTTTGAGACGCAGTCTCGCTCTGTCACTCAGGCTGGAGTGCAGTGGTGCAATCTCGGCTCACTACAACCTCCACCTCTCAGGTTCAAGTGATTCTCCTGCCTCAGCCTCCCGAGTAGCTGGGATTACAGGTGCCCGCCACCACGCCTGGCTAATTTTTTTGTATTTTTAGTAGAGACAGGGTTTCACCATGTCGGCCAGGCTGGTCTTGAACATCTGACCTCAGGGTGATCCAGCTGCCTTGGCCTCCCAAAGTGTTGGGATTACAGGCGTGAGCCACTGTGCCCAGCTTGAAAATTTCAAACAGAAAAGTGGGAAGTGTGGTGGCTCGTGCCTGTAATTCCAGCTACTCAGGAGGCTGAGGCAGGAGAATAGAGTGAACTGGGAGGCAGAGGTTGCAGTGAGCCAAGATCTCACCACCACACTCCAGCTTGGGTGATAGAGCGAGACACCATCACAAAAAAAAAAAAAAGAGATGTGAATACTTAAAAATGGAAGAAATAGGCCAGGCTCAGTGGCTCACACCTGTAATCCCAGCACTTTGGGAGGCTTAAGTGGGCGGATCACCTGAGGTCGAGAGTTTGAGACCAGTCTGACCAACATGGAGAAACCTCATCTCTACTAAAAAAGTACAAAATTAGCCGGGCATGGTGGCACATGCCTGTAATCCCAGCTACTCGAGAGACTGAGGCAGGAGAATCGCTTGAACCCCAGAGGCGGAGGTTGTGGGGAGCCGATATAGTGCCACTGCACTCCAGCCTGGGCAACAAGAGCAAAACTCCGTCTCAAAAAAAAAAGGAAGAAATCATCATTTGCATCCCCAGGAATTGACTGTGTACCAAAGACTTTCCCCAAATTGATGATGAAAGATGCGATTATGAATAATGCTGGATTTTGGGGGGATGGTTGCGCCATTATCTTGATACAAATGCAGTGAAACATCACACTGTGTGTCAACCATCCAGAGCCAGCAGTAACCTGGCTGCATAAAATCTGAGTGACCGCAAATGCCAACTCCCTTTGTTTGGTTGGTCTGACTCCATACAACACTCCCTACGTTCACACCCACGAGGTCTGCGAACCCTCTCTTACTCATCTACTAGGATATTGGGTTCCATATTTATTTTAGTCCTCCTAAGTATCTACAACTGATAATAACTATTATTAATGATAACCAACTGTGCCCCAGGCCTACCTTTGGGCATTTTAGCTTCATGATCTCATTTCACCAGTGTAGCCTTTCTCTACAGATGAGGAAAATAAGTGACTACATAACTTTCGAATGTCCAAGTTAGTAAGAGTGTCAACCAATTCAGAGCCATCTGACTCCAAAACCTGTTACTCTCTGTACCACATCGCACTGCATCCCAAAAAAGTTTGATGTGAAGTTTGGAGAGTACATTCTTTAGACAGTATTGACACTTTATTTTGAGCAATGGTGAATTAGTCTCTCTCTGCTTTCTGCAGCCTCCCACAACCCAATTTTAGTTGGTTACATATTTTTAGTTCTTTACACTTCTAAGAATTTGTAGGTCATTTGAAATTGCAGCATAGAAATAAAGCTCTTGCGGGACTCTGATTGGAGAAAAAAGGTGGGAAACTGAGTTATCAAAATACACAGGGTGGGCCGGGCACTGTGGCTCACGCCTGTAATCCCAGCACTTTGGGAGGCCGAGGCGGGAGGATCACGAGGTCAGGAGATCGAGATCGTCCTAGCTAACACGGTGAAACCCCGTCTCTACTAAAAATACAAAAAATTAGCCGGGCATGGTTGCAGGTGCCTGTAATCCCAGCTACTTGGGAGGCTGAGGCAGGAGAATGGCCTGAACCCGGGAGGCAGAGCCTGCAGTGAGCCGAGATCGCGCCACTGCACTCCAGCCTGGGCGACAGAGAGAGCCTCCGTCTCAAAAAAAAAAAAAAAAAAAAATACACAGGGTGGTATAAGCATACAAAACTCAAAAGACTGTGTTCCACCCTTCAAATCCATATTCACATGGTGAGTGAGTGTAGTGTAAGAATCCCAGGGTGGGAACACGCAGCAGCTTACAACAGATCATGAATGGGCACAACCAACAATCAATTCAATTAATAAACTCTGTTAAATTAATTAATTATTTATTTATTTTTTGGAGACAGAGTCTCACTCTGTCACCCAGGCTGGAGTGCAGTGACATAATCTCGGCTCACTGCTCACTGCAACCTCTGCCTCCCAGGTTCAAGTGATTCTGCTGCCTCAGCCTCCCAAGTAGCTGGGACTACAGGCGTGCACCACCATGCCTGGCTAATTTTTGTGTTTTTAGTAGAGACAGAGTTTCACCATGTTGGCCAGGATGGTCTCGAACTCCCGACCTCAAGTGAACCACCTACCTCGGCATCCCAAAGTGCTGGGATTACAGGCATGAGCCACTGTACCCCATCAAATGATATTTTAAAAGTTTTTTGCCATCATATTTGGAATGTACTATTAGACGGTCTCTTCTAAATAATAAATATATGATATAAAATCATCTTTGCTAAAAAGGAAAATTATCAACAGAGATAATGACAAACATTATGATGGGCATGATACTCAAAATCAAAATCACCAAACCAACAAGTGAAGTCTCAACCATAGAAATAATTTTTCTACTATAAATGCCAATAGAAGTGATTTTATTCCAGCAAAACAATAGCATCTGTCATACTAAATGCTAATTTGTTTTATGAGTTTTGCAATTATGCTGGTACTTAATATGTTTTGATTTTACGGTTGTCCAAGAGCCACAAGCCTAAGCTTACATTTGGTTTTGAATATTTAAATACAGGTATTATCAGAATTCTTTCAGTTTTAAGTGACAAAAATCTCAAACCAACCTGGTTGTGGTCATTCCTCACACCCCACCTTTATATCCTTGCTCTAATCAGTTTCTTGACCCAAAACTTTGTAGCCATCTCCTTACCTACACCCCATAACTAAATATAACCCAAGATTCTATTCTCAGTCCTCTTTTCTTTTTCTTTTTTTTTTTTTTTTTTTTTGAGACTCAAGCTGGAGTGCAGTGGTGCAATCATGGCTCACTGAAGCCTCAACCTCCTTAGGCTCAGGTGATCCTCCCACCTAAGCCTCCCAAGCCTCCCAAGTAGCTAGGACTATAGGTCACACCACCATGCCCAGCTAAATTTTTTGTAGAGATGGGGTTTCGCCATGATGCCCAGGCTGGTCTCAAACTCCTGGGCTCAAGTGATCTGCCCACCTCAGCCTCCCCAAGTGCTGGAATTGCAGGAGGGAGGCACCGTGCCCCGCCCTCTTTTCTTCTTCCTTTTGCACTTTCCTTTGGGGGAACTCATCTGCTCACACAGCTGTACTTATTGTGGAATGACTCCCTAAACTCTACACCAGCACCCACCATTTCTTCAAACCCACACTTCTGATTGCCCAGTGGTCATCTCTACCTCCTGTATAACATATCCAGAAGCAGATTTCTCATGATGCTAACGGAACCTAAGCTTCAGCCCCCAGCCCTCCCGCCCTTGAACTTGCTCCTAAAAAGCCCTAGAATCCCTTCCCTCTTTCCCTCCCGCCTTCCTTCTTTTTTTCCCCTCTTGTTTTGCGAAAGTGGATATTTTAATTACAGACTGCTATCTCTTTCCTCTCGGATTTTCTCTCCATCATACTTCCCCTGGAACAGGTACCATTGGAATGACTGTGTCATTTTGGATTCCAGCTAAGGGGAAGTTAAGTTAGGGATGCATCTTACTGTGTTTGGCCACATGTATCCACGTGGTTCGCAATCCCTCTGTCTATGATTATTACCAGCCATCTTGGTGTAAGAATGTCTTCCAGAAATGTCCCTACTGTGCATGAGGGTGATGCACCCTGCTTTGTGACACAAGGGTGCAGGACCAGAAGGCATGCCATGCCGTCACGTGACCTATTGCACCGAGGACCAAAGATATTCAGGGAGTAGAAGAAAAGCAAGTTTGAAATGTGCAATGAGGAAGGTGCGGTGGCTCCCAAAGTGGTGGTAATCCCAGCACTTTAGGAGGCTGGGTGGGGAGGATTGCTTGAAGCCAGGAGTTGGAGACCAGCTTGGGTAACACAGTAAGATCCCATCTCTAACAGAAGAAGAAGAAAAAGGAGGAGGAGGAGAGGAAGGAAGGAAGGAAGGAAGGAAGGAAGGAAGGAAGGAAGGAAGGAAGGGAAGGCAGGAGAGAGGGAGGGAGGGAAGGAGGAAGGGAGATGTGCAATCCGTTTTCACTGAAGCCCAATAAGAAAGAAGTCCTCTCGTGTCAGGAGTAGTCAGTAACACAGCAGAGACCATTTCAGATGCACTGCTTTTTTCTCTCTCTCTTTTGACAGGAATAATAAGAAACAGAATCATTCTAAATTCTGGGTTTCTAGGACACAAACTAGTAGACCTACCAACAGCAAGTACATCTGTAACAGCCCATATGTGAAAAAACCTATCTCTATTTTCAGAATATTACTCCATAAAATATAATGAGATCATCTACAAAATAAGACATATCTACAAAATAAAGATATTGTCTCATATAATATTTGACCTATATTGCATAAATAAAGCTAGGTATATTTTCCCCCGTTTTCAAATAAGACCCACAGAAGTTGTCCAAGCCTGAACTGACACCAAACTCCCTGCCTTCTCTCAGCACAGAGGAAACCTCAGCGCCTGGCTAGCTGGTCCATGAATGCTGGCCTCGGCTCTTCTCATTATGGCGCACCAGGACAGGCGCCAATCTCACACTGCGGTGCCTGCTGGCTGCTGTGCTCACCATGATGGCTTGTGTGGTACACACAGACAGGGACATGGAGCTAATGATGTTGAAGTGCCAGGTGGCGTCTCTGCTGCTCTGGGGGGTACCGCCAATCAGCCCGAGAGGCTTGTCTGCTTTCATGTGCCACTGCATGCCTCCTTGACATGTGACTTTAGCTAGGAAAACTTTTTTCCCCCTCTAACTTTTTATTTTTAAAAAATGGCTTTCTAGAGAGAAGCTAAAGAATAGCACAAGGGGCCAGGTGTAGTGGCTCATGCTTGTAATCCCAGCACTTTAGGAGGCCGAGGTGGGCAGATCACCTGAGGACAGGAGTTCGAGACCAGCCTGGCCAACATGGTGAAACCTCGTCTCTACTAAAATACAGAAATTAGCTGGGCTTGGTGGTGTGCGCCTGTAATCCCAGCTACTTGGGAGGCTGAGGCAGGAGAATCTTGAACTTGGGAGGCTGAGAAATGAGAATCACTTAAACCCGGGAGGCAGAGGTTGCAGTGAGCCGGGTAGATCGCACCATTGCACTGCAGCCTGGGATAGGGAAACTCCGTCTCAAAAAAAAATAAAGTACAAGGATAGCTTTATACCCCTCATCCAGGTTCAAATAATTGTTACCATTGTGTATCATTTGTTCCCTCCCTTTCCCCCTGGCTCTGTCTCCACCCCCACATTTGAAACTAAGTTGCAAGACACCAGAGTATTTCACCCTGTAACCTTCTGCCTGTATCTTCTGAAAACAAAGACGTTCAGCTACAAAACCCTGGCCAAAACCATCACCAGCACCATCACATCCGAGACACAGAACATGGTACAGTAACACTCCCTAACATGCAGTCCACATTCCAGCTTCCTTCCCTGTCCACTAAATGCTTCTCATGGTCTTTTTCAATCTAAGACCAATCAAGGCTCTTACAGCTCACTTGGTTCTCATGTTTCTTTAGCTTTCTTTTATCTAGAACATTCTCCCTTTTTCGTTTTCGTTTTTTACATGACATTTTTGAAGAGTTTAGGGAAGCTGCCTTGTAGAATGCCCCCAGAATCCATATTTGTTTGATTGTTTCCTCATGTCTAGATTTGAGTTAAACATTTTTGGCAAAATATGACACAGTGTACTTCCCACTCCACCACAGCAGGGAGCAAAGAATAACAGACTGTCTCACTCTTGGTCATGCCAAGATCACTTGAGTGATAAAGTGAGACTTTATAAATCATGTGACTGTCCTATTTCCCAGCAATCTTCCCTACTGACACCTTGATTTTAGTCCAGTGGGACTCATTTGCACTTGTTTTGTTAAATATTGCCAGTGGTTTTATCATTATTATTAAATGGCTGCAAAATGTAATTTTTCTAATTCTACCATTCTGTCTACATTCATTAGCTAGCACTCTTCATAAAGAAGTTTTCCCTCCCCTGCATACCTACCTTTATAAAGTATTACTATTAAGTTCTTTCTGTGGGAAAAGGGGGAAAAAGTAATTAAATATATACATATATATATATAAACAGGAGGCTGAGGCAGGAGAATCATTTGAACCTGGGAAGCAGAGGTTGCTGTGAGCTGAGATCATGCCACTTGCACTCCAGCCTGAGTGACAGAGTGAGACTGTCTCAAAAAAAAAATTGGTTTTTTTTTAATTAACTTTTTTTTCTTTAAGTATTACTACATAGTATCTATAGCGGGTAGTATCACTATATAAAGTATCCCTAGAAACTCATGGATCCCTGTTTTATTCAGTGTGTTAAAACCACTGTCATTTATTCTTTTTTGGTAATCAAATTGTCCCGAAATTAGCCAGCAGAGTCCCCACAAGCAGGCTCCTCTGAACTTTTGTTGTTGTTGTTGTCATTGAGACAAAGTCTCGCTCTGTCACCCAGGCTGGAGTGCAGTGGCGTGATCTCGGCTCACTGCAACCTCTGCTTCCTGGGTTCAGGTGATTCTCATGCCTCAGACTCCCGAGTAGCTGGGATTATAGGTGTGTGCCATCACATCCAGATAATTTTTTATGTTTTTAGTAGAGACAGGGTTTCTCTGTGTTGGCCAGGTTGGTCTTGAACTCATGGCCATGAGTGATCTGCCTGCCTCGGCCTCCCAAAGTGCTGGGTTTACAGGCGTGAGCCACTGTGCCCAACCTGGCTCCTCTGAACTTTTAACACATCTCCTATCATCAGGCCTAGCTTCATGGGCTTGTGACCCCGTGCAAAGGCACAACATCCTGCACTTAGGAAAACTTTCTGCTTGGCTTCATGCTCTCCTGTCTCGAAAAAAAAAAAAGAAAAAACCGCCAAATCAATCACTTTTTGAGATGTTGTTTTGCATTTTAGAGGGCATTTCTTTATAATAAATTCACTGAGGCCAGGCACGGTGGCTCACGGCTGTAATCCCAGCACTTTGGGAGGCCGAGGCAGGTGGATCATCTGAGGTCAGGGGTTCAAGACCAGCCTGGCCAACATGCTGAAACCCCATCTCTTCTAAAAATACAAAAATTAGCTGGGCATGGTGGCAGGCACCTGTAATCCCAGCTACTCAGGAAGCTGAGGCAGGAGAATCGCTTGAATTCAGGAGGCAGAGTTTGCAGTGAGTCAAGATGGTGCCGCTGCACTCCAGACTGGGTGACAAGAATGAAACTCCATCTCAAAAAAATAATAATAATAATTGACATTGGATTGCAGAATCAAAAGGAATACAACCCTACTGACACCTTGATTTTAGTCCAGGGAGACTCATTTGCATTTGTTTTGTTAAATATTGCCAAATTCTCCTCCATAGAAGCTGTACCATTTTGCACTCTTGTCAGAAATGCCTGACAGTGTTCTTTCAGCTGTGAATACATTCACACAGAGAAACACCTGTTACAAGTGCCCGAGACTGGAGGGTCTGTGTCTGTGGGTATTGTCTATTGCCAGAAGGCCGGTCTTTTAACCCTTGCCACCATGAGTTTGCTGTGTATGTGTGTCCAATAAGACTCAATGAGAATCTACGCCAGCAAAAAAGAGGCCAGCCACAAAGAACAGCAGAACCTTTGTCTGGTGGAGGCTGGGCATGGTGGCTCACACCTGTAATCCCAACACATTGGGAGGCCTAGGCGGGTGGATCATCTGAGGTCAGGAGTTCGAGACCAGCCTGGCCAAAATGACAAAGCCCCATCTCTACTAAAAATACGAAAATTAGCCAGGCATAGTGGTGCACGCCTATAGTCCCAGCTACTCGGGAGGCTGAGGCAGGAGAATCGCTTGAACCCAGGAGGTGGAAGTTGCAGTGAGCTGAGATCATGCCACTGCACTCCAGCCTGGGTGACAGAGCAAGACTCTGTCTCAAAAAAAAAAAAAAAAAAGACTAAGATGGTGAATTTTAGTATATTTACATTTTACATAATATATTTACCACAATAAAAAAGAAAAAAAGGCTAGGCTTGGTGCCTCACGTCTGTAATCCCAGCACTTTGGGGAGCTAAGGAAGGTAGATTGAGCCCAGAGTTCAAGACCAGCCCGGGCAATATGGCGAAACCCTGTCTCTACAAAAAATAGGAAAATTAGCTGGGTGTGGTGGTGCATGCCTGGGGGCCCAGCTACTCTGGAGGCTGGGGTGGGGGATCGTTTGAGCCTTGAGAGGTGGAGGCTGCGGTGAGCTGAGATCTTGCCACTGCACTCCAGCCTGGGTGACAGAGCAGGACCCTGTCTCAAGATAAAGAAAGACAAAAGAAAAAGAAGAAGGTTTTGAAATTCCTGTCACACAATGAAGGGATCTCAGCTGGAGTTCAGACTATGACCATGTCCTGTGACAGGGCATATTTGGGCAGGTCTGGAAAAATGGTGTGGTGGCCTGAAAGTGGTTTACTTGCAAAAGGGCTGAGAACTCATTTTAAAGGAAGAAAGACGCAGGTGCCATGAGCCTGATCAAGGAACAAAGTCTTGCTCAGAGGATGACAGCAATTTTCCAATTCACATAGGGTCTCCTGTGATACACCCTCAAACACCTTTAAAATCTTCACAGCATTTCTGCAATCACAAATAAATACATGTGATACCTGTTCACCCATAGACTGAAAACTCCATGAGCAGGATCGTGACTATTGGATGCATGGCTTTGTCGCCAGGACCTGGCTTCATCACCCGGGCAGTCATACCTGCTCGTCCAGTATTTGAATGAATGGAGTTCAGCATGGTATGTTTCTATCCAGCACCGTGGAAGCGTGTCTGGATCTTAGGGTTATAGAAGATTGTAAATAAAATAACTGCTGCTGTGAATTCTGTAAAACTCTAGGGCGTAGGCAACACCACTTTACAGCCCTTAGAGAACATACCAGGGAGATGACAGCTATTCAGGTTTCGCTTTTGAGTCTCAGAACTTCAGAATTCACAGCAGCAAATCCTCTTGGTTGTAGGTCATGGCAAAGCATTCCCTGGCTTTTCTTGTCCTTTCAACCACCTCAGCCTATCCTAATGTCAGCCATTTTGAAGCTCTGCAACGGCTTTTCTCCATTTTCCTATATTCATATTTTGGAGCTGCATTCATCAAATTCACTATATTTAACTTTAATCGATTTTGTAACTGTTAATCTAATTGTTGAGATATCTTTGCAAGAGGAGAACTTTGCATTCCACTCATGTATTCCTTTCTTAGCTCATGGTTCATATTGATGCCAGTGGTTTATAATTCTTGACTTCAAACATGGTCAGCTGTTTCTGTTGTAATATCATTACCTGGTTTGCAAAATGAGTGGTATCTGGTAGGCACTCAGGAAGGTTTCTGACCTCTGTCGGGGTAATGAAGGCAAACTTAGAGACCCTAATTATGATACCTCACCACACACACCTTACCCAAATGCACTCTGGATGTCTGTGCTTGCTGGTTCTCCTTTGATTTTGTTACAGCATCAGGCTTCAATGTCAAGTAGTCTCAAAGCTCTCTCTTATCAATGACTTGGACCTCTTTTCATCTCCTGCTGGCTTGATAATATCTTTTTTTTTTTTTATTTTAAAAAGCCAACTCCATCTACCTCTTGCCTCTTACTTTCTCACTTGGGCTGTTTTAAATTTCCAGTAATGAAATTATTTCCCTCCTTGTTGACCAAGACTCACACTGAAATACTCATGCCTGGGCTCAACTTAATGGGCGTGGTACCCAAGCACACCATTTCACACAGGATGGAGTTGCTCTTTCCACAGAGAGACTAGAGTGATGGAAGGGGACTGAGACAAGTGGACGGTGTTTGGGGTCATTGAGATTTGCATGGAAGGAACTTTCTGGACGGGGATCCTCCTGCATTCTGGATTTGCTGTGTCTCCTCCAAGGTATAGCTGATGTTCTTCAATATGATTGCAGTGCTATTGTGGCAAAAACACCACATTGCATTTCAATAACATATCACTTTGCATCCTTCTCTATGTGCCACATGTTCCTGTTCATCACATCTGACTCTTGCCCCAACCCAGATCTGTGCTTCTGAACACACAAAATCTCCAGGTTTTGTAAATAAAAAGGACTGGCATACTGGCATACGCTGCAACACAGTGACTCTTGCAAACATTAGGCTATGTGAAAGAAGGCAGACGCAAAAGACTGAATATTATATGATTACACTGATATGAAATGTCCAGAATGGGCAAATCCATAGAGACAGAAAACAGATTGGTAGTTGCCAGGGGCTGGGGGAGGGGAGGAATGGGAAGGTGACTGCTAATGGGGACAGGATGCCTTTTTGGGGTGATAAAAATGTTCTAAAATTGATTGTGATGATGGTTGCACAATCTTGTGAATACAGTAAAAACCGTTTAATTGTGGACTTTATCTTTTTTTTTTTTTTTTGAGATGGAGTCTCACTCTGACGCCCGGGGTTGGAGTGCAGTGGCGTGATCTCAGCTCACTGCAACCTCTGCCTCCCAAGTTCAAGTGATTCTCCTGTCTCAGCCTCCCGAGTAGCTGGGATTACAGGTGCCCACCACCATGCCCAGCTAATTTTTTTGCATTTTTAGTAGAGATGGGGTTTCGCCATGTCGGTCAGGCTGGTCTCAAACTCCTGACCTCAAGTGATCTGCCCACCTTGGCCTCCCAAAGTCCTGGGATCACAGGTGTGAGCCACTGCACCAGTCAAATTGTGCACTTTAAATGGGTGAATATAAGGTATGTGACTTTTATCTCAAAAAAGCTGTTACACACAAAAATACCTCTGGCTGAGGGGAAAGAGGGAAAGGAAGAAGTTGGTGGGAAGAGGAAATGAACTGTGAGACTCAGAGAAAGCAGAGAAAAGGAAAAAACGTTCTTGCGAAAATAAGGCTTCTCACCCAGTTCCTAAGAAGAGAGCTGTGTCTAAAGTATGTTCTGGAAATTGCAGGCACCAGCAGGAGCAGGGGGGAAAAAAGGAAAGCCTAGCTCAATGCTCAATGCTGCAAAAGTAGAAAATGGACAAAGGGAAGAGCCAACAATGAAATCAAACACACCAGAGTGAGCCGTCAGACACCAGGAAGCAGAGCAGAAGCAGCAGCCAGGGACAGAGTGGCAGGAAAAATCATTTTGAAATAAAAATGAAACTGGATGAGGGAGCCCACTCTCTTTCTTCTGGCCTCTTCTCTTTTTTTCTTTCCCAATACACACAAGCTTGTTCACCCCTCTCCTCTCCATTCTCTCTCCGCCCCTCACTCCCCACTCATTACCCCTATTCTGGCCCTGACCCTTCCTGTCCACCAGGGACCACCCATGCGATCTTCCCAGAGAGCCCACCTCCCTCATTCTGATTGACAAGCTCAGGACATCACAGCCTCGAAAACCCACACAGCGGGTCAGCAGTGGCCCTGGGGACTGGCACAAGCTTCCACCACCACCAACACCCAGCACCTGTCCAAGCACCCCAACACAAGGGCCGGCAGCCCAAAGATGGGGTGATTCATGGATGCAGCCAGCAAGAAAGCACCTTCCATGGCAAAACCCTGTCTCTACTAAACATTAAAAAAAAAAAAATCAGCCAGGTATGGTGATGAGCACCTGTGGTCCCAGCTACTCAAGCGGCTGAGGCAGGAGAATCACTTGAACCTGGGAGGCAGAAATTGCAGTGAGCTGAGATTGCCCCACTGCACTCTGGGCGACAGAGCAAGACTAGGTATCAAAAAAAAAAAAAAAAAAAAAACATTGCTAGGTGCAGTGGCTCACACCTGTAATCCCAGCACTTTGGGAGGCCGAGGCCTGTGGATCACCTGAGGTCAGGAGTTCAAGAGCAGCCTGGGCAACATGGTGAAACCCCATCTCTGCTAAAAATAAATAAATAAATACAAAGAGATTGCACACTGCATTCCAGCCTGGGTGACAGAGAGAGATTCAGAAAGAAAGAAGGAAGGAAGGAAGGAAGGAAGGAAGGAAGGAAGGAAGGAAGGAAGGAAGGAAGGAAGGAAGGAAGGGAAGGAAGGAGGGAAGGAAGGAAGGAAGGAAGGAAGGAAGAAGAAAGAAGGAAGGAAGGAAGGAAGGAAAGAGAAAGAAGGAAAGGAAAGAGAAGGAAAGAAAGAAAGAAAGAAAGAAAGAAGGAAGGAAGGAAAGAAAGAAAGAGAAAGAAGGAAAGGAAAGGAAAGAAAGAAAGAAAGAAAGAAAGAAAGAAAGAAAGAAAGAAAGAAAGAAAGAAAGAAAGAAAGAAAGAAAAGAAAGAAAGAAAGAAAAGCTTCACAGTGCTACTGGGAAAAGCTCCTTGGCACAGGACACTTGGTGACTTGCAAGGACAGACAGTGTCTTGAAGCCGGCTCCTTCCACTTCCTCCCTCCTGCCCCCAACACACAGCTGGCCGGGGCCCGAGACCCTGAGGCAGGAAGTCTGAGCTCTATTTTTCACCTCTGACATGTGGTCTGGGGCAGATCCTCTAAACCCAGGGCCCACTTCCCACCTGTATTCATGCAGCAACTTGTTCTTCCGGGTTGCTCAGCCTGGCAGACCTCATGCTCACTGGTACAGATTCCCATCTTATGACGCTGAAACTTGAACGGGGAAACCCACATGTCCTTGTCTCCAGAATCTCCCAGTCACAAAGCGAGTCCCTGGGTCAGGCTGGATGGAATACCTATGTCTCAGTCAGTCCCCTGACCCAGGCCTTATCAAACAGACACGGGGAATTGTCAGGGTGACACTTTGATAGTGTCTTGTGAAGGGCTTGGAGGAAGAACATAAGGCTACAAAAGGTAACATAATCGTCTACTCAGACTTTTCTCTTTTTTCTTTCTTTTTTTTTTTTTTTTTTGTTTTGAGACGGAGTCTGGCTCTGTCGCCCAGGCTGGAGTGCAGTAGCACGATCTTGGCTCACTGCAACCTCCACCTCCTGGATTCAGGCAACTCTCCTGCCTCAGCCTCCCTAGTAGCTGGGATCACAGGTGCATGCCAGCGCCACCATGCCTGGCTAATTTTTTTTTTTTTTTTGGAATTTTTAGTAGAGATGGGAGTTTCCTCATGTTGGCCAGGCTGGTCTCACACTCCTGACCTCAAGTGATCCTCCCGCCTTGGCCTCCCAAAGTGCTGGTATTATAGGCATGAGCCACCACGCCCGGCCCAGACTTTTTTCTTACAAAGGAACTCTAAATGGTGTAAATTCACTCTTTTAAAAGAAAACTCTGACATGAAGCAAGGTGCACTGGCCATATAAAGACTTGAGAGTCCAGGAGGGCCCAGGGATGGGAAAAGACGCTTCACTCTTAATGTTGTATTTGGTTTTGGATGACAAGTCTCCCAAACAGAACTGTGATGACTTGACACCACTAAAGGGGTGACTTCACTCCTATTCATTCAGATATGTGCGATGGCAACTCATTAAGGACTCATAGTGACCTACCTGGCTTTGTAAATAGGATCTGCATTTCCAGCACTATCCATCAACTCAGATCTACTAAGGAATCATGCCCATGAAAAATTAAACGTTCAACTTCTGAAAAGGTTTTAAAAAATACTTTCAATTTAATCTCACCCCTACTCCACCCATCTTTCACCAAGTTCAAGGGATAAGTACAAGAAACACATGAAGGAATGATTTCCTGTAGGATTACACCACCAGGAAGCATTTATTAGGTTCCTAATTGCTCATGGTTCTGTGCTAATCACTGTATAAATAGAACTGTGTAGAACTGGTCTCGGTCTCTCTCTCTCTGGCTTTCAAGACTCTCCCTTGTAAGGTAGACAACAGTCACCTGGACCAACAGGTTCAGGACATAACGAGAACATATGGGAACTTAAAGCATCCCAGTGACTAGACACTGAAGCGTTTACCTGATCAGTGTCAGAGCATTTTAGGGGTGGGGAGCCAGGGAGGAACACACCAGACAGGGGTAGCTGTTGGGTTTCCTAGGGCCGCTAGGGCTCAAGCACGATACTCCCCACACCTCTGAGAAGATCCCCAGGCAGAGAAGGCTGCGGTGGGGGGTTAGGTTGCAGAAAGGAGGGAGGAGGTTTAGGGGTAAACAGCTGGACTGGAGTGGGAGGAGGCAGAGAACAGGTGGCAAGGGTGTGGCCAGGAGAGAACAGCAAGCAACGAGGGCCCCTGCCCAAGAGACAGAAAGGGGACAGCACGGAGAGCAGCTGTTGTGGGCGCCCCACCCACGCCTCCAACCCAAGGGCTTTCTCAAGCCATCCCACTGTGCTCGGAGACGTAAGTGGGTTCTAGAAGACTTGTGGTTGGTGTGAGTGGGCGAGCAGAGGGTCTAGGTAAGGGTGAAAACATTCCGACTGGAAGGCAAGAGGGCAGGGCATGACCGGCCTGTTCTGCTCAGAGGGAGGGCTGGCAAATGACAGCATCAAAGGCACAGGGGAGAACACATCCTTAGATCTGCTCTGGAGGAGGAGAAGACCTCAGGGAAGCCCTTGGCATTTCTACAGGTGAATGAAAACCACACAGAAGGGTGACCTGAGTGCTCTAGATTGCTGCTGAGCAGTGCGCTGACTTTCCTTTAGAATCAGGCCTTGTGAAAGGAATTGGGGCGAGTGGTCAAACCTGACTTACCATCATCCCGCCTCAAAGCAAAAGGGAATTCTGTCATTAAAAAACCATCAAAAAAGCAGCAGTTCTTCTTAGATCTGTAAGAAAAGTAAGGTCGCAGGGCAAACCACTGCCCCAAAATTGGAGAGACAGGAGAATACAGAGAATTGCAATTGACCATTGCAGAAGCCCAGGAGCAGAAGGAGGAAAACCGAAACCGTGATTGATGAATTGCCGGAGGCTGGGCATGGACAAGCCTAAGGGTTCAAGCTCTGGGGACCCGGTCCCAGGGAATCCCCACACTTTTGTGAGTTTACTTCCTGGAGCGTGGCAAGGTTGTCACAGTGAATATTAGAGAAAATTTCCTCATGCTTCCAGCAGGGAGAGGGAAAAAGGAGTCATTCTGAAACACACCAGAACTGCGACTTCTTCTTCTTCCCCTTCTTCTTCGTCCTCTTCTTCTTCTTTTTTTTTTTTTTGAGACAGAGTCTCGCTCTGTTGCCCAGGCTTGAGTGCAATGGCACGATCTTGGCTCACTGCAATCTCCGCCTTCCAGGTTTAAGCAACTCTCCTTCTTCAGTCGCCTGAGTAGCTGGGATTACAGGCATGTACCACCATGCCTGGCTAATTTTTGTATTTTTAGTAAAGACAGGGTTTCACCATGTTGGCCAGGCTGGTCTCCAACTCCTGACCTCGTGATCCACCCGCCTCAGCCTCCCAAAGTGCTGGGATTACAGGTGTGAGCCACCATGCCCGGCCTCCTCCTCCTCCTCCTCCTTCTCTTCCTCCTCCTCCTCCTTCTTCTCCTTCTGCTTCTTCTTTCTTCTTCTTCCTTCTTCTTTCTTATTTCTTCCTCTCCTTCTCCTTCTTCTTCTTCTTCCTTTAGACAAGGTCTTGCTCTTCTTCATAGCTCACTGCAGCCTCAAAATCCTGGGCTCAAGGAATCCTCCCACCTTAGCCTCCCAAGTAGCTGGGATCATAGCCATGCACCTCCAAACCTAGCTAATTTTTTAACTTTTTTAAAGAAATGGGGTCTGATTATGTTGCCCCAGCTGGTCTCAAACTCCAGGCCTCAAGCGACCCTCCTGCCTGGGCCACCCAAAATGCAAGGATTATAGGTATGAGCCACCACACCCAGCTGCATTCTGTTCTTAACAACATCTGCCCTTAGGAGAAACTAGATAGCCAGAGCCTAACCTACCTAGAGGAAGGGAAATACCCAAGTCTAGCCCCTTCTAGCAACCTGTCCCCTTTAAGGCTGGGGGGACAACCCAAACTGAAAAACACTTGTAAAGTCCAGGGACATAGGCTCACCAAAAGACCAAGACCCAATATAGGACTATACAGACAACTTCCCCTCTTTAACACCTTACCATTGCATTACTAAATGCCCGTTTATCCAAGTTCCTTTACATCATGTCCACCTCTCAACCAAAAATCTTGAGGCATCCCAAAAGATCAAACTAACAAACACAGCCTGAAGAGACTGAACAAGCAACAGAACCAGAGTCAGATATGGCAGTAATGTTGGAATTATCAGACCAGGAATTTAAAACCACTAGGATTAATATGCAAAGAGCTCTAATGGAAAAAAGTAGACAACATGGAAGAACAGATGGTAATGTAAGCAGAGTGATGGAAAAATCTGGAAAACCACCAAAAGGAAATGCTAGAGATCAAAGACACCAAAACAGACATGAAGACTGCCTTGGATGGGCTCATGAGTAGAATGGACATGGCCAAGGGAAGAATCTCTGAACTTGAGGACATGGTGATAGAAACCTCCCAAACTGAAAAACAAAGAGAAAAAGGATAGCAAAAGTCATCCTATTTCGTGGTTAATGACTACAAGCTTTCCAAACCATTTTAGATCAGGGACAGGACCCCCAGTTCCACTGTAGTCTAGAACCCAAAAAAGAGGCATCAGGTCTAAATGAAACATGCCCTCAGCCTGCGGGGCAGGACACTGGTTTTGTGTCTCCTGGCCCCAGCAGAATTTACCCTTGGTGAGACACCCAGGTAAAAAGCACCTTTTAGGAGGGGGCTGGTCCTAGAAGCATTTCCGTTTCAACTCCCTCAAACAACACACATATTTCTGTAATTATGCGTGCACACATTTGCTGAAATAAAAAAAACAGGCAATCTTAGTGAGAAATAAAAGATAGAGGGGATGTGTGTTTGAAAGTCAACACAGATTTAAGAATATCATGGCAATTCACACAAGAAAATACTAATGGTGAATGCAGTTGTTCAATCCCACTAATTCCCATAGAAATGCCAATTATAGTAAATGATGGGATATGATGTCTGTCCAAAGCAGAGTGGTAAAGATTTCAAAATTGTCCATATCCAAGGTAGAGAAATATGTTCTCTCCTATGCACTGTTGATCTATACTTATACCACTTGTTTTGGATGGCAACTGGGCACTATCCATCTTTATTAAAAGTCCATGCCTTTAACCAGCAATTCACTACCAGGTATCTGTCCTGGTTTCCATCTGTCCTAGAGAGCTACTCAGGTGTGTGCACAAACCATCAAAAAATGTTTATTACAACG
The DNA here is from genome assembly GCF_000001405.40 of Homo sapiens. Classification (NCBI taxonomy): domain Eukaryota; kingdom Metazoa; phylum Chordata; class Mammalia; order Primates; family Hominidae; genus Homo; species Homo sapiens. The sequence continues at coordinate 11,667,365 of NC_000010.11, forward strand.
ATGTTTAAAATATAAACAAAAATAGAAACAATTTACATAGCCATCATTAGGGAGACTGGTTGAATTCCAGCAGTAAAATAAAGAATGAAAATGTAGGCCAGGCACGGTGGCTCACGCCTGTCATCCCAGCACTTTGGGAGGCTGAGGCAGGCAGATCATGAGGTCAAGAGATCAAGACCATCCTGGCCAACATGGTGAAACCCTGTCTCTACTAAAAATACAAAAATTAGCCGGGCGTGGTGGCGGGCACCTGTAGTCCCAGCTACTCGGGAGGCTGAGGCAGGACAATTGCTTGAACCTGGGAGGTGGAGGTTGCAGGGAGCCAAGATCACGCCACTGCACTCCAGCCTGGTGACAGAGAGAGACTCCATGTCAAAAAAAAAAAAAAATGAAGATTTATATGGAAAAGACCACATAAATGGTTTTAGGGAAAGACATATCGTTAACTGAAAGCTGTACGTTGTAGAACACCACAGAGAGCATGACATTATTTATGTAAATGTCTGCAGAAAACTATATACATCTGTATATAAATATGGTCATGTAAATGCAGACAAGAAAATCTGGACAGATTAAACCGAACTGAAAATAGAATTAGGAGGAAGTGGGCTGGTGGCTGGGGAAGTGTTTGAGTCCATTTGAGCTGCTACAGCAAAATACCACAGAATGGGTAAATTATAAACAATAGAAATTTATTTCTTACCATTGTGGAGGCTGACAAGTCCAAGATCACAGTGCTAGCCTGTTTAGTATGGCAAGGGCTTGGTCTCTGCTTCCAAGATGGCGCCTTGAACACTGTGTCTCCTGGAGGGGACAAACACTGCGTCCTCACCTGGAAGAAGGGATGGAAAAGGGAATGAATCCACTCCTTCACACCCTTTTATAAGGGCCCTAAGTGATTGAATCACCTCCTAAAGGCCCCAACTTTTAATACTATCACATTGGCTAGTAAGTTTCTACATAAGACATGAGCGCAGTGGCTCACACCTGTAATCCCAGCACTTTGGGAGGCTGAGGCAGGAGGACTGCTGAGACCAGCCTGGGCAACATAGGGAGACCCTGTCTCTACAGAAAATTTTAAAAATTACCCAGGCCCCAGGTGGTGCATGCCCGTGGTCCCAGCTACTTTGGAGGCTAAGGTGGGAGGATCGCTTGAGCCCAGGAGTTCAAGGCTGTACTAAGCCATGATTGAGCCACTGCATTCCAGCCTGGACAACAGAGCGAGACCTTGTCCCCCAAAAAAAAAAAAAAGTTTCTACATAAGAACCTTGGGGGACAGTTTCAGACCACAGCAAGAATCAAGGGAGATTTTTGTCTTTATCTGCAATGAATTTTTTTTTTTACGAGAGTGTATTCATGTGTTAAACGTTCAATTAAAAATGAATTTTAAAAGAATGGGAAAAAGGAACAAGAACATCTGTCCTCTCATGAGCCAGACAAATAAATAGATAGAATGACTGAGGGATTGTAAGTGGGGAAGGATGGAACTTCTTCCCAAAGAATGGGCCAGTCCTCTCCCTCACCCACTCCACTTCCAGACCATTTGACCCTTGGGTCTATCAGCTGGAGGCTCCGGCTATCTACTTGGAAACAGCGTAGTATCCACTAACATCATCCAGACCCTCTCAGAATGAGGAATTCACAGGCCCAGGGTCAAGGATTCTGGGAACTAAGTGGCCAGGATCCTCACTGGAACACGACCATCTGTAGTTCAAAAGCTCAATTCCAAGTCCTTTATCTGGGGAGTTTCATTACACAAAGAACACAAAACACTTCACCGCAGCACAGCTCAACCTTAGTGGGTCCACGGCATCTGTGGTTTTCAAAAGGGGACTCTGGAACAGTTTGAATTTACTGAACTGGCTTCTGAACAAGTCATCCAGGAGAGATTTTGCGAACGCAGCTTCTCCCAGGCCTAGAATTGACATAGAAAGTAACACTGGGTCAGGCTGAGAAAACAAACAAACAAACAAACCAGAAGACTAGGGAAAGGAAGAAAGCTGGAAATAAGAAGTAACAACATGTCAGGCTGAGTATCATTTTCCTCAGCAGTTTCGCTTTCACAGTTCACTCTCTCACCTTTTTGCTTTTCCAAATGAGAGGTTAAAATGGTGAAGCATAGAAGGGCCCTTCATCCTCACAGGATGTTTGACATAAAATATTGATCACAGAAGCCTTTGTTTTCTGTAGAGGGGAACAAAACAATATTTTTTCCTCTCTCTCCAGCGAACATGAATGTTTAAAAACTATTTTGCTTGGCCGAGCACAGTGGCTATGGCCAGGTTCAGCAGCTCCTGCCTGTAATCCCAGCACTTTGGGAGGCTGAGGTGGGAGGATTGCTTGGGCTCAGGCACTGAAGAACAGCCTAGGCAATATAGCGAGACCTTGTCTCTGCAAAAAATAAACAAAATCAGCCAGCATGGTGGTGCATGCCTGTGTTCCCAGCTATTCAGGAGGCTGCAGTAGGAGGATCCCTTGAGCCAGGGAGGTCGAGTATACAGTGAGCTGAGATTGTGCCATTGCACTCCAGCTTGGGTGACAAGCAGAGACCCCATCTCAAAAAACAGCAACCAACAAAACCTATTTTGCTGACAAAAATTACAATCACAGGCACACTAAGCCAAACAGCATCCCATTCCCTTCACCAGTAATTTAATGAATGGTGACTTTGCACAGAGGTTCATATTCAAGGACCTAGAATGCTTAAAATGCTATTATAGTCTTGACTCTATTGAAATTATAATAAGAAAATATGATGCGACGTCGAATCCTAGGTCTTGTAACAATTGGAAAAATGTTTTCTGTATTAGAATGTACCTACTGTGACCCACCATTTGTAGGTTCTTGGTAAATGACATAAAATCCAATTAAAATTCAGTTGTTGGAGCTGTTGAATCCACATACAAATATGTATATACACACATATGTATATGTATGGTGATAATTATTACATATTTTTGTATGCTTGAAACTTTTCATAATAAAAAATCAGAAAAAAATCTGTTTCTTCTTCCAAAATCTGTTTCAGATGATCTTTTATGATCGCCTTGTTCAGACCTTCCCTGACCACTGGCTAACAACTTCCCAGCAGGTGTCTCTGGCTTTCCCTGACTCCACTTTGCAGTCCAGCCTATATTTGGCAGCTGCGTAGCTCTTCTAAAACAAAGCTTTTATCTTGCCACTCCCAAGTCTCTTTGAGGCTCACCACAAAAAGTCCGCACGCCCCTGCCCAGCTTTCCCGGTTCTCAGCCTCCCACCCCTCCCTCCCACTTCATCCTAGTTCTCCAGGACCCACGGGCTGGGCTTCTCACCGACGTTTTATTTGCGCCTCTGCCTGTGGGGCACCCCACTGGGGGTATGGATCCCTGTGGCCTTCCGTTGTCTAAATTTGACCTGCTCCTGTTTCATCCAGAGTCTCACTTCCTCCATTCATTCCCCGGTTTCGGCATCGGAAGTCCAGACCGCAATCATCCAAACTCCTGCCACTTGAATGCAAATGGCATCTATCACATGCCAGGCACTGTTCTAGGCACTTAAGATACATCAGCGAATAAGACAGATAAACTTTGCAGAGCTTACACTCTAGTGGGGATGGGAGCAAGCCTAACTCATATCCACAATAAATAAGTGTATTATATACAAGCAGACCTCAGAGATATTGCAGTTCTAGGCCACTGCAATAGTGAATTATCACGATAAAGCAAGCCACTCAATTTTTTTGGTTTCCCAGTGCATATAAGAATTATGTTGATGTTTTACCAGAGTCTATTAAGTGTGCAATAGTATTATGTTTAAAAAACAATGTACATACTAAGTTAATTTTTAAAATACCTTATTGCTAAAAAAAAAAAAAAAAAAAAAAAGCTAACCATCATCTAAGCCTTCAGCAACTCTTTCAGCTGGTGGAGGGCTGCGGCTCGATGTTGACAGCTACAGACTGATTACCAATTTCTCCATAATCGGCAATAAGGTTGTTTTGCTTTCTGATCATTCATGGGTTCACTGGAGTAGCACTTTTAATTTCCTTCAAGCACTTTTTTTTTTTTTGAGACGGAGCCTTACTCTGTCGCCCAGACTGGAGTGCAGTGGTGCAATCTCGGTTCACTGCAGCCTCTGCCTCCCAGATTCAAGTGATTTTCCTGCCTCAGCCTCCTGAGTAGCTGGGACTATAGGCACGTGCCACCATACCCAGCTAATTTTTGTATTTTCAGTAGAAATGGGGGTTTCACTATGTTGGCCAGGCTGGTTTCAAACTCCTGGCCTCAAGGCCACCTCGGCCTCCCAAAGTGCTGGGGTTACAGGCGTGAGCCATCACACCCAGCCCCAAGAACTTTTTTTCATTCATAACTCAGCTAACTGGTTCAAGAGGCCTAGCTTTCAGCCTGTCTTGGCTTTGGACATGCCTTCCTCACTACGCTTCATCATGTCCAGCTTGCGATTTAAAGTGAGAGATGTACAACGCTCTTCCTTTCGCTTGAACACTTAGAGGCATCGTAGGGCACTAATTGGCCTGATTCGATATTTCTGTATCTCAGGAATAGGCAGGTGTAAGGAGAGGGAGAGAGACAGGGAGCGGCCATCAGTGGAACAGTCAGAACACACACAACATTTATCGATTAAGTTCCCCATTTTATGAGCACAATTCTTGGTGCCCTGAAACAATTACTATAGTAACAGCGAAGATCACAGACCACCATCAGAGATATAACAATAACGAAAAAGCTTAAAATACCGTGACAATTACCAAAATGGGACACAGGGACACGAAGTGAGCACATGGGTCTTGGAAAAACAGCACCAACAGGCTTGCTCCATGCAAGACTGCCACAAACCTTCCATTTTGTAAAAAGTACAATATCTGCAAAGCACAATAAAGGGATGCACAATAAAACGATGTGGGCCTGGCCGGGCACGGTGGCTTACGCCTGTAATCCCAGCACTCTGGGAGGCTGAGGTGGGTGGATCGCCTAATCTCAGGAGTTCGCGACCAGCCTGGGCAACACGGTGAAACCCCATCTCTACTAAAATACAAAAAATTAGCCGGGCATGGTGGCGTGTGCCTGTAGTCTCAGGTACTAGGGAGGCTGAGGCAGGAGAATTGCTTGAACCCGGGAGGCAGAGGTTGCAGTGAGTCAAGATCGCGCCACTGCACTCCAGCCTGGGTGACAGAGCGAGACTCTGTCTCAAAAAAAAAAAAAAAATCAAAACAAGAAAAACAACAACTAGGTGTGCCTGTGGTATGTGGGAAGATGTTAAGTCTATAAAAGAAGAAACAGTTGGGAAGGTCAAAGAGGATTTGCAAATGCAAAGCAGGAAACGTTTCGGGGTGGGGATTGCACTTTTTTTTTTTTTTTTTTTTTTAGATGGAGTCTCGCTCTGTCGTCCAGGGTGGAGTGCAGTGGCGCAATCTTGGCTCACTGCAACCTCCGCCTCCCGGGCTCAAGCCATTCTCCTGCCTCAGTCTCCCGAGGAGCTGGGACTACAGGTGCACACCACCAAGCCTGGCTGATTTTTGCATTTTTAGTAGGGACAGTATTTCACCATGTTGGTCAGACTGGTCTTGAACTCCTGGCCTCAAGCGATCTGCCCGCCTCGGCCTCCCTAAGTTTTCGGATCACAGGCGTGAGCCACCACGCCCAGCCGGATTGCAATTTTAAATAGCATAATCAGAGAGGCTTAATGGAAGAGGTAATATTTGAGGAAAGACCTGAAGAAGGTAAGGGAGTAGGCACTGAAGATATTGGGGGAACAGTGCTCCCCGAGACATCTGGGCAGCCAGGCACAGGGACCACAAGCAGAAAAGGGTCCTGTGAGGGTTTCGTGTTTTCTTTACAATTTGTCAATGTGAACACCATGCTCACACCAAAGAACAGCAAGTTTCCTACCTGGCTTCTCTGCCTTCCTCCTTCCTTCCCTCCCTTCCTCCCTCCTTCCTTCCTTTCTTCCTTTCTTCCTTCCGTTCTCCCTTTCTTCCCAATATGCCCCACTTCAATGGATGAGTTTTCCAGCTCCCTCGGCTGCTTTCTGCATTGCACATGACAAGTATCCACTAAATATTCATTCATTAGAAACAGCCAGACGATGCTGAGCCTCTGTAGCTCTCTAGCATCTACCATAGCACAGATCTCAGGAAGACCCACAAGATACATTTGTCAACAAGTCGATGGCCTCCTATGTGGCCCTGTGCTGTGTGCTGAGGCTACAGGAAGGAACAAAGCCTCCTATCTGGGGGCCCACTTCTGCAGTTAAGTTCATCTGGTGTCCTTTGTAATACTGCAAAGAGAACTTCTTACGCTGTAGCTGAATGAGAGAAATATCCCATTCCAAACCTCTGATGGAAACTGGCCAAGTCAGCGTGTGAGAGGAAGAAGGAAGGTAAGAGGTGGAGGAGGTGGAAGGAGGGAACTTCAAGGTCTTTTGGAGCAATGGTGTGGTTGGCCTGTGGGAAACTCAGCGGCTGTGAATTCAGCCTCATTTTGCCCAGCGTTTGGGGGGTGCTCAGTGCCAGAGAACAACACGCTTCCTATGAAAGATTGCAAAGTAAAAACAAGGAGGCGTGTTAGAGAGCCACAATTCACACATATTAACTAAAAAACACAGCTATAAATCATGTTTATCACCATATGGAAGTCATTATGGAAAGTGGGAGACAAATAGACATGAAGAAACAAAAATTAGGATTTCATCTGCCCTGATTCTTAGTCATTTATTACCATCCAGCTGGGCACACACTTTAGGAACCACGATGAGCAAGATTACCCAACCGGAAACACCTTGTCGCCTTAATCAGATTGAATGTTATCTTAGCTGTGATAGAGCAACAGTGATTTTTTTTTTTTAACTGGAAGGAACAGATGAAAAACATCTTTTTCTTCAGGATTGACATTTCTTAACACAGATTACAGCAGGCAGGCAGTTGACGTCTCTTCTTACCCTGCCGATTTGGTTATCTTCTGCAGAACAGAATCCCTTCAGTGTCATTCCAGCCACAAGCACAGGAATCTAGTCACTCATTCGTTCCCCCATTTGATAGAGGCAGGAGCCAGCCAAATGGCCAGGCCAATAGGGAAGGGTCCCCAGAGAACCCCCGACCTGCCCAGGTCATTGTGCACAGGGGGCTTATCTAAACAAGCCCACAGTCAAAAATTCCATCCCTTCACACCTGCGCAGTAAGGGAAATAAACCAATGTGGAGTGGCTCAGACCAAGGGCCCACCTGCCCACTGGAAGAATGGGGTGGACCCACCAGGAATTCCCCTTAGGCAGGGGAGGAGCCTGGCCTTTTGGACTCATGGGTGGCAGCCTGGCATTCAATTTGTGAGGCGGAAGCCTGCAGGCAGGACCCTGCCTTTAACTGAGAGCTTTCCTTTTGCTTAATCAATTCAGCCCTCCTCACCCTTCAATGTGTCCACGTGCCTATTTTTTCCTGGCTGTGAGACAAGAACCCAGATTAAGCTGAACTAAGGAGCAAAAATCCTTGAATCACATTCATGGCCCTTTGCTGTGTGCTGAGGCTACGGGGAGGAAAAAGACTGTCAAGGACCCTGCCCTCAAGAAGTTTAGAGTCTGGAAAGAGACACAGGCATTAAAAAAGTAATTTCAGGCCAGGCACAGTAGCTCATGCCTGTAATCCCAGCACTTGGGAGGCTGAGGTGGGTGGATCACATGAGGCCAAGAGTTAAAGACCAGCCTGGCTAACACGGTGAAACCCTGTCTCTACTAAAAATACAAAAATTAACCAGGCATGGTGGCAGGTGCCTGTAATCCTAGCTACTTGGGAGGCTGAGGCAGGAGAATCACTTGAACCCAGGAGGCGGAGGTTGCAATGTGCCGAGATACCACCACTGCACTCCAGCCTGGGAGACAGAGCAAGACTCTGCCTCAAAAAAAAAAAAAAAAAAATCAATCTCATGCAAAAATACCCTTGCAGACACACCAGAAATCATATTTGATCAAATATCCAGGCCCAGTCAAGTTGACACAAAAAATTAACCATCACAGGGGTGGTGAGGAAGGAGGTTGGAAAGTGCAATGTAGGCAGATGTACCAGGGCCTTGCAGGCAATGCTAAGAGTGTTTATCTTTATTATAAGAGCAACGGGTAGCCAGTACAGGGCTTCAAGACAAGGCAAGAAATACTCCACTTAGTATTGGGAAAAGATTGCTTTGATTGTTGTTTGGGGAAGAGATAGGTCTGGACAAATTCAAGGAACATTGCATAGAAGTGACATTTAGGTTAGGTCTTGAAGATGGAGAAGGATTCAGTTACTTGGAGAGAGTAAGGGAATTCTAAATAAGAGAAATGCATTAGCTAAGGAAGAAAGATGGCAGCCAAGGATATTCAATGATGAAAGTATCTTGAATGATAGGAATAGGGAATCTCAGGGGAGAAGGAATCTAAAATGAGCATAGCAAGGTGGCTGGGGGAGAATCACAGAGGGCCTTGAGTACTAGGATAAGGAAACCATAGCTCCATTCTATCGAATTTGATGGTTTCTTTGAGCAGGTGATTGACATACCCAGTATCTTTTAGAAAGATGACTGATATGGTTTGGATCTGTGTCCCCCCCTCAAATCTCACGTTGAAATGTAATCCCCAATGCTGGAGGTGGGGCCTGGTGGGAGGTAATTGGATCGTGAGGGCAGATTTCTCATGAATGTCCTAGTGCCACCCTCTTGGGGATTGTCTTAGTGAAAGCGAATGAGTTTTCGTGAGATCTGCTTGTTTAACAGTGTGTGGCACCTCCTGCCTCGCTCTCTTCCTCCTGTTCCGGCCATGTGAAGTGCTGGCTCCTCATTTTCCTTCCACCATGATTGGAAGCTTCCTGAGGCCTCACCAGAAGCAGATGCTGCCATGCTTCCTGTACAGCCTGCAGAACCGTGAGCCAATTAAACCTCTCTTCTTATAAACTACCCAGTCTCAGGTACTTCTTTATAGCAGTGTGAGAACAGACTAATACAATGACTACTGATCATAGTGGATTGGCCACTGGAGAGAAAGCTGATGGAGCAGAGAGCACTTGGGAAGAAACCATTAAACACTGAAAGAGGAAGAGGTGGTGGAGATACATTGGAGAGAACAAATACAATAGACTTATCTGAGGTCAAATCAACAGAACCCAGCAACGGATCAGACAGAGAGAGAAAGCAGAAAGAGTGAAATAAAACTCCACGGTTCTAGCCTGAGTGATTAAGGGCAGAGCAATGTTCTGGACCTTGCTGGGAGATTCAGGAAGAAGAGGGAAATCTGGGTTTATTTCAAGGAGGGGTGGGAAGGAGAGATGAGATGAAGGAGGACCAGGAA